>NC_000010.11:313030-464545 GCF_000001405.40 Homo sapiens
GCCTAAGCATTAATAGAGAAGAATACATGAAGGAGATAAAGAGGTAAGATATAGCTGCTTCCAAATTATAAAACCCCTGAGGTAAAAAGTCTGAAATTTCAAGATACATATTGAGGGAGTATTTAACAAAATCTTCATATTGCCAAAGAATGCTAGCCAGTGTTCCCTTAAATACGGAGATCCCTAATGCAAAAGAGTGCCCCTCAGTATTTAAGGATCAAATACTTGCAATAAAGGACCCACAGACAAACAGCATTAACCCATTCCAACTAAAGCTCATTCAGAAACAAAGATAAAGCATTTTTGAAATTCCAAGTTATATGAACGAGAAAAAAGGATTCACATTAAAATCCAGTTATATAATAAAAATGTTAAGCAGTCAGCCTTCCATATCTGTGAGTTTCGCATGTTTAGATTTAACCAACCTTGAATCCCAAATATTCGAAAAAACTGCACCTGAACAGGCACAGACTTGTTGTCATAATTCTCTGAATGATACAGTACAACTATTTACACAGCATTTACATCGTATTCGGCATCACAAGTCATTAGAGATGATTTAAAGTACACGGAGGATGTGCATGGGTTCTATGCAAATGCTGCGCCATTTTCCAGCAGGGACCTGAGCATCTGCAGACTTAGGTATCCACAGGGAGTCTGGAAACCTGTCCCCCATTGAGGGACAAATGTATATACCAAAAAATAACTTTCTTACTGACACAGAAGTATTATATCAATTAGGTATTAAGTGCTTATTGAACAAATGAGTTATATTTAAATCTCAGGTGAAGATATACAGACTCACACCCCAAATATCAGCACAGAAAACACAAAACAGCACTAATTTTAGCATTTAAGCTGACTGGTGATTTTACTATTCAGCAATTCACACACCATAATATTAGCACAACCTGGTACTTGCACATAGGGCTATAGTAAATAGAAATGTGTGAAAGAACGAACAAACTCCAAAGACCTGATACTGGGCTTATGTAGTACACTAGGTAAGTCTGAGAAGACGAGAAAAGGTTTGGGTTGTATGTCTCCAGGCAAATGACACTCTTCAAATGGAAAGGAAAATGACACAAAATTTGACTACTTCTTTGTACTCCTATTTCCAGAAGAATTTTTATATTTGCATTAAAATCTGGGGGCTGTGGAAATGTTACCGGCTTAGAGAAGCCTTAATGATGTACTCCCAGTGATCTTTTCAAAACCAGTAGCTAAATATGACAGGTCCCTGCCTTAAGCCCTGTAACAATTTCCCACTGATCTTGGGAAAAGGACCAGTGCTTGGTGCAGCCCTCCGTCGTCCTCCCTTTCTAGCCACCCTGGCCTCTTCCCATCTTTCCTGACCCCTCTGAAGTTGCAGGGGCTTCAGCTCAGCTTCCAGAGTGCTCTTCCCTCCCCGGTCTCGTCACCGCTAACTCATCTTTCTAAACTCGGCACCAGCCAGGATTTCCTTAAAGAAGCCTGAGAGGGAGGTTGGCCCTCCCTGTGCTGCACCGGATCACCCAGCAGCTGGACGCCGTCCTTCCCATGGTCTGTGGCCAGTGCCTGCCTCTCCTGCACATGGGAAGGCATCAGGACGAGGCTGGGTCTGGCGATACGAGTCCCTCTGTGCTCGTCTGCTCCGCCTGCTGTGAAATACCTTAGACTAGGTAACGGCTACTCACAGCTCTGGAGTCTAGCAAGTCCCAGATTGAGGCACCTGCAGAGTGGATGAACATGTTCCTTTAGGCCTCTTTTATAAGGGTGGAAGTCCCATTCGTGAGGGCTCCACCCTCATGATCTAATCACCTTCTAAAGGCCTCATGTCTTATACTACTGCATTAGGGATTATAGTTCAACACAGAAGTTTTGGAGGGGGACACAGACATTCTGACCTCAGCAATCACATCATCCACAGTTCATTTACTTTTCACGTCCTTATTGGTGCGATTGCTGTTGGTTCTTTACTTGTCCCTTTCTTTGTTCCTCCCTTCCTGCCTCCTTTTCTCATGAATAGAATATTTGTGGTATTTCACTTTACCCTCTGTGTATTTTTTGAATGATTTATTGCATTCTATCTTCACACAGTGTTATGTGCTATGAAAATGAAGATTCTTGCAGCAGTGCATTTCCGGGGCCCAACTTCCTGTTGTCTCATCTGTTATTCCTACACATGCTACGAACACCTCAGCTGTTCATATTTTTAAACAGTTAATACTTTTAAAACAAACTAAAAATATTTACATGTCTACATATTGACAGATTCTAAAACGTTTTCTTGTATTTACTCTTTTCAGTATTCTTCATTTCTTCTTAAAAATTTGGGCTTCATTTTGCTATCATTTATTTTCATCCTTGAGACATTCTTACTATTTCTTGTGACACGTATTTGCTGAACGATTCTCTAGGTTGGCTAAGTATCTGCTTTTCTCTTCCATTCTGAAGGATCTCCTGCAGAAGAAACAGCTCTTTCAGCAGCCTGCATGCACCACTCCACTGTATTCTGGCTTCCAGCACTTCTGATGAGAACTCAGTGTTGTTTTTATTACTTCCCCCTACTTAGTTTTATTTCTGCAGGGACTTTAAGATTGACTCTGCCACTGACTTTCGGTGTTTGGACAACAAAGCATCTGGGTGTGATTCTTCTCATTTACTCTGCCTGGAGTTGACTGAGCTTCTTGAATCTTTGTGTTGATTCTTCCCTTCACTCCTGGCCATAGGTCTTCAAATTGTTCTCTTGCCCCATTTTCTCTCACCGCTCCTTCTGGGGCTCCGATCACTACAGGTATGTTAGACCCACGGGCCTCAGACACTCTGTTCCACTGTATTTTCATGCCTTTTCTCCTTGTTTTATGCTTAGGTCATTTCTATTGGTCAGACTTCAAGTTCATTCAATGAGTCTTTCCTCTGCTGTATCTAGTCTCCTATTAAACCATGGGAATTTTATTTCTAATACTAGTTTTCATTTCCAGCATTTCCATTTTGTTTTTTCTCATAGTTTTTATCTTTCTGCAATACCCCCCACCTCTTCATAGATGTTGTACACCTTTTCAACGAATTTCTGGCCTCACCTATCACAGCTATTTCGAAGTCTCTGATAATTGCAGCATGTCTCTTCTACTGACTCTTTCTAGGGCCATCTCCTCTCATGAACATGAGTCCATTTCTCTTGCTTCTTTGCAGGTCTTTTAAATTTTGATTATATAACACAATGTTTTATGAAAAACGAAGATTGTATTTAAAAGAACAGTAAAGATTAAATAACATTTACCCCCAGAAAAGAATTTACAAGCCTATGGGCAGGATCCGGATGCTGGGCCTGAACACTGACACTGGATGTCTTCTATGCTTCACGGCGAGAGATCTGCTTTCCAAACAGTAGGAGACCTTCCACCCACTTTAGGTAACTGGGTGATTCTCTCTTCAGTCTCACCCCCAGCTTCCTCTATTCCACTGCCACACTCCCAGCCTTTGGAAGGCAAATACGTTACACATGGTGAAGGGCAAGGGCGCTGCAGAGGGATGTGCTATGCCCTCATCCCACCTCCATTGTTGAAGTGTGAGTGGAGTTCCCACGGTGATTTGGGCTGCCCTGGAGGGTAGCCAGGGCTCTGCTGGGTGATCCAGGCCACCCTCGAGCGGGAGCCAGCGGCTTTCCTGCTCACCTCCCAGCCCTCAGGAGCCCCTGCCTTTTGCACACTAAAGGTTCAGAGTGCCTCAGAGAAAATGCATCCACTTTTAGGACTCCCCTGGGATTCTCATCTACCTTGCAAATAACATACTGCCATTTATGTTTTTTAAAAAGTTCAGAAACTTTTTGCTTTATCATTTTTTATGGTAAATTCTTTCTCCTGGCTCCTCTGCCATGGGAAAAACCACATACAGGTCTCTTTTCTCCTAGGAAGAAATGTAATTCATCTACATTTGAGTCTTCAGCTCTCTGATGGATCTTAGAAACGATGAGTCTGTGTATTAACCAGATTGTTCCGACGGTTATGGTTGGAACAAGAGTCTCTTGTGACTTCTACATCTCAATAAAAAATGGAATTCCAAAATATTTAAAAAATAAATTTGCAAAAATCACATTGAGCTTGTTTCTATGGTTGGCATCAAATGGATGGATCTGTATGTTGTCATCAGGCATTGATGCAGGTGACAAACTGTCAGGAAATGGGGGTTCTGGAATGGATTACTGGTGGGGTGGGGGCCACAGACAGTGTGAACTCAGCTCAGGCCGTCTACCAGCAAGCTGGTCATCAGGACCAGCCAAACACTGGCTTTCGTAAAGTTTGACTGAAGCACGGCAATGCCTGCTCATTTACATATTGCCTGTTTCTGCTTTGAGTGGCACAGCAGAGCTGAGTAGCTGTGCGGAAAGCACCATGAGGCTGGCAGCCTGGACGCCATGCTCTGACACTTTAGAGAGAGGGCGTGGGAAGGCTTTAGTTTAGGGGCTGCCAAGCCACAGAGCAGATGAAAGCACCCAGACGTGACACGGCACGGCTGTTTTTGTTGAACTTACTGAGTGAATGATGAACTCAGATTCTTGCTTTTTGGTTCAAGACATAGACTAAAAGCCAGGCATGTTCTGTGACTGCGATAGAGAATCCCTTGCTGAAAGCCAGGCGAACACTTGAAGCTGTGCAGTTACACCCCTCAGACCCTCATCATGATCTCCTGGGTCCCTAAGACTCTTCCAGCGGTGACTCCAACATTCCTGGAGACAGATGGAAAGACTCACTTAGCACCTTGCAGATCCAACATGATTATCTGTTCAGTGCAGTGTCCATCAGTGCCTAGGGCACGTGAGACATCCAAAAACACTGGTAGAATTCGAATGTTCCTCTTCTTTTCTCTCTCTTCATCCCTCAATTGTAAATTTTACAATTCCATCTGTAGATCACAGAATATCAGTGATGGAACCAGAGAAAGAGGAGGCATCGCCTAGGAAGTCGTGGGTTTGATGACGGTCATGGTAATTCCAGAGGCTTCGGCTTGTCTCCCCTTTGCATGAAGGGCAAGTGCCTGAGTAGACGTAAAAGCAGCAGCTGCATCACGGTGGCTTCCTGGGGCTATGGAGATGCGTAAGGGCAGGACGAGAACACAGTGATGCTGGATGGCGAAAGGGAGGGGTGGGAGCAGCCACCGCTGCCACACTTTGGTCACCATACATCTCAACCGTCCTCCTGTATCGGGAGAACTCCTCCACTTTTTGAGTCCTGTTTGAATACAGAGCCCTTGTGGCTCTGTAGGAAGTAAAAATACCAGAAGTCCCTTCCCAGCCTTCCTGGAAGCTAGGGTGTGGGGAGACGATCAACCAGTCACATCCATTTACAGCACAAACCAATCGGGCTCTTGCTGTCGGCAGTGAAGGTGTCCAGACACGATCCAGGTTTGGGGAATGCCATGCTGGTGGGGAAGTCTCGTGTCCAGGAACAAGGTCAGCAGTGCAGACTTCAAGGTGTGGTGTCCTCACAAGAACAAGCTGCTGCACAAGCGGTTCCCATAGGCAGGTTCCCAACGCTGGTCCTACTCCCTTGGTGGTTCTGAGAGCCACTCACTGGTGCCTCAAACTGCCAAAGGAGGTTTCCATTGCTTACAGGTCAGAAAGCTGGCTGACGTGCAGGATACCTGGAATATGGTTTCCATGATCCCCAGCGTGGCTGGGATGCCGTGTGTCAGCAGGAAAGGGCATAAAGTTCCTGCTGACGGTGGCTCATTCCCTGAGGCTTTCAAAATCCCCAACAGCACCTTATTTATTTCCTTCACCTAAAAGCAGTGTAGGGGGACAAGGAAACTGAGAGCTCAAGTTAATGAAAGTCTTATTATTACAACTATTTATTTTGAGAATTAAGATTTACATCATCTCCTGAGCCTTCCACATTTTTCTTTTTTTTTTTTATACAGAGTCTGGCTCTGTTTGCTCCGTCACCCAGACTAGAGTACAGTGGCACGATCTCGGCTCACTGCAACCTCCACCTCCCAAGTTCAGGCAATTCCCCTGCCTCAGCCTCCCGAGTAGCTGGGATTACAGATGCGTGCCAATGAACCGGGCTAATTTTTGAATTTTTAGTACAGACAGGGTCTTACTATGTTGGGCAAGCTGGTCTCGAACCCCTGACCTCAAATAATCCACCCGCCTCAGCCTCCTGAAGTGCTGGGATTACAGGCGTGAGCCACCGCGCCTGGCTCACTTCTTTCAACAATCCATGACTCCTTCTATTACTAGGGGGGCTGTATTTCTCTTTCATTGTGTGAGTTTCAAGATTTAAGGGTCACTGCAATAGTTACTGTTGATTTAATCCCACACAAAGCTACTTATAATAAAGCTGCCCTCTCAGATAAATCAGTTATTTTTCTATATAATAGAAATCCAAGTTTCTGTTTATGTTTTTTTCCTAATAAATAAACAACCGCGGTCTCTTTTGGAAAACAGAAGACCTCATGTTTTTCTTCCCTGCTTCTACTAGAAGGAGGATGCAATTTTTCTGTTACAGTGAACAATATCTCTAAATCTAATGCAACAAAAGACCTTCCAGCTTACATTTTTGAAGAGTAATTGTGGCTGTGAGAAATATATTTCCAAATAATAAGTGACACCTTCTAATAATACTAAGAGAAATTTATGTGAAAGCTAATTAAACACAGAAGTCATAATTTGATCTTTCTAATGTCCACTTTTATCATAAATTTAGTAAATTGAAATTCTTTTAAAGTCATTTTTCCAGCTAAAGGTACTGGGAAATGTTACTCCTAAGAGTAACAAATAGCTTTTACTTCTAAATTTTGTTCTGTTTTTACCTCCTAGCTTTGTCAATTAGGAAAGTTCACTTCTCAGGGCCTTCATCTCTCATCTTAAAACAACTAAGAATTCCCTTAAAGAGCATGGGAAGACCTAACTAGATGCTGTCTGAATCCAATGGTCCAATGCAATGACTAAAGAATGTATTTTTCCAGCGTGAATGACTCTTAAGGTGCAAGCCCCAGACTTCCTATTTGAGAGGAAAATGCTGTTAGAAGGTTGAAGAATAGTAAACCCTGGGTTTTCATTTGCAAGGAACAGTTACAGATGGCATATGAGCTTTTAGCTGGTGAAGATTCACACCAGGGGTTCATTTTGAGAAAATTCATCATGCCAAGTCATTTTCCACGGGAGACTAGACTCTAGTCAAGTAAGGATATGTTTAATTTCTCTAATGTGAATTGTATTTACACACACAGATTGGCACTTAAAAGAATCAACTTTGGCAGGCTGAGGTGGGAGGATCACGAGGTCAGGAGTTTGAGACCAGCCTGGCCAACATGGCAAAATCCTGTCCCTGCTAAATATACAAAAATTAGCTCGGCGAGGTGGCAGGTGCCTGTAATACCAGCTACTTGGGAGGCTGAGGCAGGAGAATCACTTGAACCCAGGAGGCAGAGGTTGCAGTGAGCCGAGATCATGCCATTACACTCCAGCCTGGATGACAAGAGCAAGACTCCGTCTCAAAAAAAAAAAAAAAAATCAAGTATCAGTACTTTGACAAAATGTATCCAACATCCAGAAGTGACTGTGATGATGTGAGATGGCACTGGACACTCAGGGAGGGAGATTCTTTCATAAAGCCATGCTCTTAGCTGAGTGTGGTGGCTCACGCCTGTAATCCCAGTGCTTTGGGAGGCTGAGGTGGGAGGGTCACTTGAGGCCAGGAGTTCAAGACCAGCCTAGGCAACATAGTGAGACCCTGTCTCTACAAACACTAACAACAACAAAGAAAAAACTGTGTTCTGTAAAACAGCTACTCACAGAGCAGAAGCGACATGGACATGGTGATAAATAATTAAAAAGCAGCTGGAAAGTGTGAAGGAGGAGGAACAAAGTACACTGGCAATTCAGAGGAAAGAGAGCACCGCAGCTGACAGAGTTCGAGAAGGCCCCATGGAGGGGACCCGGGCGGAGCAGGATGAGGGCAGAGGAGAGTCCATCCAGGCCGAGCACAGTGTCCGGGTTATGAAGCAGGAAAGACTGCATGAGAAAGTGGCTTAGGAACAACTGCACGAAGGGGAGGCAGACGCTTGGGGCTGGATGGTGGGAGGACCAGAGTGCCACTGATAGAGCCGATTTTTGCAAAGTAAAAACAAACACCCAATGTGTCTCTGTACACCTGTAATGTTTCCTGTGTCAGGTATGTTCTAAAAAGTGCTTGTCCAGGCGCCAAGTCAGCACTGGAAAAACTGCATGCGGCTTCGCCCTTGAGGATGCAGCACTGCTCAGGAGCACCGGTGAGGCCTTGAAATCCTGCAGTCATAACACTCATGAACTGTGCAGCTCAGCCTTCCCCGAAGACCAGGACCCCCTCTGACCGTGATGCCCTTGACACATCCTAAGCCCTGCTGCACACGGGTGAGGCTCCCTCTCTCTTTTGGACAATGTTCTTTGCTGAGTTTGCTCCCTATCTCCTGGAGATAAAACTCTTCCCTCTCTCCATCAGGCGTCCCCCACCAGAGTGCACAGTCAGGGAAGGCCTGCGGGGGCTCCAGCGAGAGACCGGCGCTGTTAGAACAGTCAGTCGGGGGTGCGGGGCTCCAGCGAGAGACCGGCGCTGTTAGAACAGTCAGTCGGGGGTGCGGGGCTCCGGCGAGAGACCGGCGCTGTTAGAACAGTCAGTCGGGGGTGCGGGGCTCCGGCGAGAGACCGGCGCTGTTAGAACAGTCAGTCGGGGGTGCGGGGCTCCGGCGAGAGACCGGCGCTGTTAGAACAGTCAGTCGGGGGTGCGGGGCTCCGGCGAGAGACCGGCGCTGTTAGAACAGTCAGTCGGGGGTGCGGGGCTCCGGCGAGAGACCGGCGCTGTTAGAACAGTCAGTCGGGGGTGCGGGGCTCCGGCGAGAGACCGGCGCTGTTAGAACAGTCCGTCGGGGGTGCGGGGCTCCGGCGAGAGACCGGCGCTGTTAGAACAGTCCGTCGGGGGTGCGGGGCTCCGGCGAGAGACCGGCGCTGTTAGAACAGTCCGTCGGGGGTGCGGGGCTCCGGCGAGAGACCGGCGCTGTTAGAACAGTCCGTCGGGGGTGCGGGGCTCCGGCGAGAGACCGGCGCTGTTAGAACAGTCCGTCGGGGGTGCGGGGCTCCGGCGAGAGACCGGCGCTGTTAGAACAGTCCGTCGGGGGTGCGGGGCTCCGGCGAGAGACCGGCGCTGTTAGAACAGTCCGTCGGGGGTGCGGGGCTCCGGCGAGAGACCGGCGCTGTTAGAACAGTCCGTCGGGGGTGCGGGGCTCCGGCGAGAGACCGGCGCTGTTAGAACAGTCCGTCGGGGGTGCGGGGCTCCGGCGAGAGACCGGCGCTGTTAGAACAGTCAGTCGGGGGTGCGGGGCTCCGGCGAGAGACCAGTGTTGTTAGAACAGTCAGTCGGGGGTGCGGGGCTCCGGCGAGAGACCGGCGCTGTTAGAACAGTCAGTCGGGGGTGCGGGGGTCCGGCGAGAGACCGGCGCTGTTAGAACAGTCAGTCGGGGGTGCGGGGCTCCGGCGAGAGACCAGTGTTGTTAGAACAGTCAGTCGGGGGTGCGGGGCTCCGGCGAGAGACCGGCGCTGTTAGAACAGTCCGTCGGGGGTGCGGGGCTCCGGCGAGAGACCGGCGCTGTTAGAACAGTCAGTCGGGGGTGCGGGGCTCCGGCGAGAGACCAGTGTTGTTAGAACAGTCAGTCGGGGGTGCGGGGCTCCAGCGAGAGACCGGCGCTGTTAGAACAGTCAGTCGGGGGTGCGGGGCTCCGGCGAGAGACCAGTGTTGTTAGAACAGTCAGTCGGGGGTGCGGGGCTCCGGCGAGAGACCGGCGCTGTTAGAACAGTCAGTCGGGGGTGCGGGGCTCCGGCGAGAGACCGGCGCTGTTAGAACAGTCAGTCGGGGGTGCGGGGCTCCGGCGAGAGACCAGTGTTGTTAGAACAGTCAGTCGGGGGTGCGGGGCTCCAGTGAGAGACCGGCGCTGTTAGAACAGTCAGTCGGGGGTGCGGGGCTCCGGCGAGAGACCAGTGTTGTTAGAACAGTCAGTCGGGGGTGCGGGGCTCCGGCGAGAGACCGGCGCTGTTAGAACAGTCAGTCGGGGGTGCGGGGCTCCGGCGAGAGACCGGCGCTGTTAGAACAGTCAGTCGGGGGTGCGGGGCTCCAGTGAGAGACCAGTGTTGTTAGAACAGTCAGTCGGGGGTGCGGGGGTCCGGCGAGAGACCGGCGTTGTTAGAACAGTCAGTCGGGGGTGCGGGGCTCCGGCGAGAGACCGGCGTTGTTAGAACAGTCAGTCGGGGGTGCGGGGCTCCAGCGAGAGACCGGCGCTGTTAGAACAGTCAGTCGGGGGTGCGGGGCTCCAGCGAGAGACCGGCGCTGTTAGAACAGTCAGTCGGGGGTGCGGGGCTCCGGCGAGAGACCGGCGCTGTTAGAACAGTCAGTCGGGGGTGCGGGGCTCCAGCGAGAGACCAGCGTTGTTAGAACGCAGTCAGTCTGAGAGCAGACACCCCCGTTTCCACACTCACTCACGATGCTGCTGCTTCAAACTGAAAGCTACATTTTTCAACATCTTTAAATATTTAGGTACAAGGTTTGGAATTCTGGCAGTGTCTTAATTTTTTGTGTTTTTGATTTTTTACATCAAATGATTAATTGTGATTATCTCAGGGTAGATGGGTTTATGACTGTTATTTATAAGCTAAAGTGTATTTTCTGATTTTGTTTTCTAAAATATTCTTTTATAAAGAAAAATAAATTCAATGTATAGAAAATTCAGAAACATTTCAGGCTTTCCTTATTAGGACTCATGAGCAGTGTGGTCCGTACATTTAATGTACCAGGCATGTCCTGTGTGCTGGGCTCTATGGAGAGCCAGGGAGCGAGAGGTGGTTTCTGCCGCTGGATCCTGGGCTTCTCCACTCTGCTTGTTTCTATCACCATCAGGTTTTTTTAATTTTGCAGATTCTAGAAAATGAGTGTTTCCAAAGACCAGCTCTGCCTGTAGCCTCTGCACTTACGGCTGCCTTCGCTGGACTCTCGCCCGCACGACTCCGCCCTTTCACTGTGCTCTGCTGAAGCGTTCCTGACTGCCCTCCCCCAGAACGCCTCCCCGTGTTCGTGGCACTCTATCCTCTCACTGCTCGCTTTTACTAAAATGAGTCACTTCCTGAAAAAATTATCTACATGCCTACCGTCCAACTCACTGACTGTGAGAAATGTTTGATGATGGCACAAACTTTGTCATAAGTTTCTTTGTAGTAAAATTTGACATAGGCTGACATGAGCCCCTTCAAGTCTGGGGCCCCCACCCTTCCTTGCTGCAGGAACACTGGCACATGTGATACTGAGCTGTGGCATCATGCATGGCATCTGTGCCACATCACCTCTCACAAAGCCAGAAACCTAATTCCGAAGCACACCTGCCCTCAAAGATTCTGGGAAGGGGAGGTGAGCTCGCATTGCTTTGTACATAAATTTAATTTCTCTCTGCTGGTAGACACTTGGATACTTCCAACTATTTTCCAATACTATGCAGACAAGGAAATGCTGACCGAAAGGAGTTAGGGATAGGTCAAGTAGAAAACTGAACATGGACAAAAATGCTTAAAGATGCTGCCAAGATTGCAAAATAACGCCATGACCCATGATTAGAATACTGAATTTTGATTTAGCGGTCATATTGACAGAATTGTCTTCTGCACAAGAACATATTGCCATTTCCTATTAAGAATACAGAACCGTGCTCAACACTCCCACGGCGCACATTCATTCAATATCCACCACGTGTCAGGCCCCGCCCTGGTGCCGAGGTAAGGACGGTGGCACGCTTCAGAAGCCTTGTGGAAAACACCAGCACGCCAACTCTGTTCTTCATTCTGTCCCTTTCCTGCGCTGTTTTTCTTTCATCTCCATGTTTTGGTTCTTTTTTCACGTATTTTATCTTCTCCTACTGAGCGTACTCCTTCCTTGTAAACCATCTTAAAACATTTTGGGGCTGGGCGTGGTGGCTCATGCCTGTAATCCCAGCACTTTAGGAGGCAAAGGAAGGCGGATCATGAGGTCAGGAGATCAAAACCATGCTGGCTAACACGGTGAAACCCCATCTCTACTAAAAATACAAAAAATTAGCTGCGCTTGGTGGCGAGCACCTGTAGTCCCAGATGCTGGGGAAGCTGAGGCAGGAGAATGGCGTGAACCCAGCAGGTGGAGCTTGCAGTGAGCCCAGATCACGGCAATGCACTCCAGCCTGGGCAACAGAGTGATACTCCATCTCAAAAACAAACAAACAAAAAAAAAACATTTTGGATCCAGGTGGATGGAAATAAATGAAAAAGTAAAGAGGAAAATAAATGTATGTACTCTACAAGAGGCCAATTTTACACCACACGCTGAACTCTGTCACCTGCTGGAGGGCACGATGCGACGGGTTACTCTCTGCTCTCTCCCTTCAGCGCCACCTTGACATTTTAAGAGACAAAGCCAGAAGCAGCAGCCTCGCCATGGCCAGTGCCATCTCTCACAAATCACTGATTTCCTCTTGCCCGGGGGTCCCTGTCACTGGTGGATGGAGACAAGTGAGACATCACACTATTGCTGAACTTAAGAAGCAGACTTCTGCATTTCCTATTTCTCCTAATGGGATAGATGGCGATAAACATTTATGAGGAACAGAAAAAGGTGAATAGGCAGAGAAAACTTCAATATTTTAAGAACTAGTTTGGTGAGATAAATCTAATTCTTCAGATGACCTCTTAGAAAAGGGTATTATTTTAATCATAGGACAAGGTTTAACTGACTCTTGAGAGAAATTTGGTAATTTATAATTTCTTAAAGATGGAGCTATTATAATAATTAAAAGAGAAGCAAGACAGAAGCAAGGAACACCACGTTTATGAAAATTAAAAAAAAGGCCGGGTGCAGTGGCTCACGTCTGTAATCCCAGCACTTTGGGAGGCCAGGGCAGACAGATTGTTAAGCTGAGGAGTTCAAGACCAGCCTGGGCGACATGGTGAAACCCCGTCTCCACAAAAAATTTAAAAATTAGCCAGGCGTGGTGGTGTGCACCTGTAGTCCCAGCCACGTGGGAGGCTGAGGTGGGAGGGTTGCTTGAGCCTGGGAGCGGGGGGCAGGGGGTTGAGGCTGCAGTGAGCCATGACGCCACTGCACTCCAGCCTGGGTGACAGAGTGATACCCTGTCTCAAAAAAGTAAAAGAAAAATCAAGAAAAGCTTTTTGCAGCTACTTTTTCTGAAGTGATCTCGGGAAGAGAGGAGGTTCCCTCCTCTGACCTAGTGGCTAACTCCAAGCACCTAGACAGGCGTGAAAAGGGCAGAGGGAGCCTTCGGAGGCTCACCCAGCAGCAACCTTAAGCAATCACTCTGGGATCACAAGTAGGATAGGGGGTGGGGAGAGGGAGGTGGAGGGATGCACACCAACCGTTTGCCTCACCAGCACCTGCTGAGAGGGAAGCCCTTATTCTTCCAGGAAGGAAATCCGCAGCTCTGCCTGCAGCTTGTCAGCCACTGTTAATGCAAGGCTGTCTTGCTAGAGCTGCTTCACTTACGCCTGTTTCCCAGAAGTGCGGCTTTGCGGTTTCTAAAATGCCATTGCAGCAGCAAATCCCAGAACCTGCTCAATGTCATTAAGTTCTTCCTACAGCGATCGTCTACACGCGTGGGACTAAGTACTTCGAGGGACTGGTTTCTTCATCTGTCTAGTATCTAATCTTTAAAAAGTCGAACAGCAGAGGTCTGGACAAACTGCTACCCCTGTCACAAAAGTTAAAATGTTCCAGGACAGAGTAAGTCCTATGAATGCTTGTTATGAATAATGGATACGAACGTAGACTGTAGTTTAAAGAAACAGAGATCTGCACCAACCGCATGCGTGTGACTGAAAGATCTCTTCTGGATGTAGCTAAGCATCAGCCGAGGGAGACGAGTGGAGCCAGTCTGTGCTGTACCCACCCCGGGAGCCACACTTCCCACTCAGCACTGTGATGTCGCCGAATCTCACCTGCAAGCAAATCGCCAGGTTCACCCTGCAACCGAACGAGGTGCTGACGGCCCGCGGGTGAAGGCCCAGGTCCTTAAACAGCTTTGAGAACGACTGTGTGAGTGCGATCCGAGGCCTCTCTTCCGCCACAACCACGCAGGTCCTCACTCGGGACAAGTCCAGCCCTCGCGCCTGGAGATGATGACAGAGAAACCGAGTCAGCCCCCACGTGTCGAGCTTGGAGTGAGCCAGAGACTCCTTCCCACAGATCCCCACGTAAACATTGGAAAACTCAACACAGCTATGCATTTCCAGGGCCACCTGTGTCCACTTCTTCAATATAACAAACCAGGAGTTGGTGAAAAAACATTCACACAACTATTCAAATGATTAAGAATGGAATTACAAACACGTCTCAAACAACCACCTGGAGCCACAGCAAGAACTGTTATGAGGAAAAAGGTTGAGGAAAAGCAACTTCCTGGCTGAGACGATGAAAGGCCGTTCGGGAAAAGAGAGCCATCTGATACATTCTTCTGGGCATGGATGTACCAGAACACACACTGGAGAGGAACGGGAAAAATCTACATGTAAAAGAGATGGGATCTTGCTATGCTGCCCAGGCTGGAGTTGAACTCCTCGGCTCAAGTGACCCTCCCACCTTGTGGTCTCCCAAGTAGCTGGGACTGCAGACATGTACCACCACACCCAGCCTGAAAACCTACATTTTAATATATAGGAATATAAAACTAAAATTTTTGGATGACTTCATAGACAGTGCTCCATTTATGTCCCATTACGCCAAGAATTTCTTCTCATTCTCAAGCGTGTCTGTTTCCACAGTAAGCAAAAGATTAACAACATCTCAGTTTCCACACCAAATTCAGTCAGCCGAGCACAACAGAAAAAGTCATACAGGAATTCAAGGAGTTAAGCTCAGCTCACTCTGTGGCACTACCTGGGCCGAGCAGAGGGAAAGTAAGGGAGCGACAGGAATGGCTTGTGAATGTGAAGGCGAGCCGTGAATGTCTGCGTCTTGGAGTGGAACCCAGAGCTGCTAAGGGGGCGGCCACCAAAACCCCAACCGTCAGGCCCTGCGAACCCTTTCAAGGCAGCCTCGGCACACGGACAACCGACAAGGGTCCTGAGCAAGGAGGACGCACAGCTCGAGCTGGCTTTGACATTCGTGCTCAGTGTACAGACACGACTGTACACACAGAGTTAAACAGGAAAAACTCAAGTCTGGGTGACACAAATTACATATTCACACGCGCGCACGTCTGAGAGGTAAAGCAGCATGCAGCTGCAACAGCAGGTCTGAAGCCAAAGATTCTAAATTTGGCTCCAGGTTCGTTCAGCCTAAGAACCTGGAAAGGTTGCTTAATTTCTCTATGACATAAGTTTCCTCAGCTTTAAAATGGAGACAATAAGGGCTCCTATTTCAGAGAGCTATTGTAAGGATGAAATGAATACGTAAATTGCATACTGACCCTCAACTATGTCATGATTTTATTCTGGTTATTTATATATGTGCCAACAGGAAGGTCATGAAAATGTACTCACTTTCTAATACAATATAGATGAACATGAATAGTGCTAACTTTTTCCTATATAAAAACTTAAAATGATTGCACAATTACTTATGTTACATAAAGTTATCTTGCATTTTGCTTTCCTGTCCAAGCTTTATGCATTAGGAAAACAATGCAGGACAGATAAATGTACTGTTCCGTTATTGATCTCTGTGTAGATGACAGAAACACAAACACAATCCATGTATATACAAAGACATACACACATCCAAAGAGTACAAAGTCAGTTGAAATTTTATCAAAACTGGTCAGATGATTATTCCCTCCTAGTTACTTGGAGCTAAGGACTACTTAATTTACCATGAAGATATACGTATCAAAATGTCCTTGGTTTAAATGGAGGGAAATACTATTATTCTTACATAATAGCAATTATTAAAAAATGAAACACAACACTGTTAACTGAACTGTAAAATGAATTGAGCTTAGGGTCCAGACCCAGAAATCAGGGTCTCCAGGGAAAATAAAAGTGAGCGGCTAAATTCAAACCTACCTTCTTAAACACCAGTATCAAATAAAGTTAACATCACCTAAGATCTTCTGAACACTGAACACTTCAGAACACTGAATCCACCCAACAAAAAATCAAATTTAGGATCTTTCAAGTAGACCCAGTGGAATGACAGGCATTGAAAATATTTTACATTCTGGTTCGTTACTGTCTGTGGTCGTGGGGAAATATTCACGTTAAAAAGATTTTCATATAAAGGCAGTTTGTAAGCTTCAGGTGACGTTAGATTAAACCCAGGCTTTGTTTTGGAGGACTGTTTTAACTTCACCCCATCACAGATGTGCCTTCTTAGAAAGGAGTCCCTGTGGGCTCACAGGGCACTGAGCTGCCAAGGGAGCTGCTTACCTTGAGGGACTCTGTTTGCGAGCCCAGCCCCTTGGTGCACAGCTCCATCACGGAGTAGGAGCAAAACGTGTCTCGGACTTTGTACTGACTCACGGCAAGAAGCCACAAGGCGGGGTTGGTTTCCAGCTCAGAGGGCGGGATCAGGATGGACTGGTGCCCAGAATACACACTGCAGAGAAAGAAGAGGCTGTCAGGGCGGGAGCTCAGCAAGGCTGGAGCTCAGCAAGGCTGGAGGGCTCAGGGCAGCACTGACTCCAAGGAAAAGGAGGACTTGGAACAGCCCGTGCTGCCATCTGTAGAAGGGCACAGTAAAGCCAACGCTGCAAACTGCAACCATGTTCACGAAAGCCTTCTGAAAAGCAAATACGTACTACAGAATCATGGGGCAGTTCCTACCACTTTGAACACACATTTAAGACTACTAAACGCTGTGATGCTGTGATGTCTCTCAGACCTGCGACATCAGCAAACTGGATCCTCTTTCTTAGTAGAAAACACAGGGATCAAATTTCGGTTTAAAAAAAAAAAGTCCAGCTTCAGAACAGGAGCTGGCAAACCACAGACACTTCCTGTTTTTGTAAATAAAGTTTTATTGGAACAGGGCCACCACCACTCATTTGTTTAAATATTGTCTCCAGTGGCTTTGAGCTGAGTGGTCAGAGACCACAGAACCTAAAATATTTACCAAACAGCAATTTAATAAAGAGCAGGCCTATACCTGGTTTAGAAAACTGACAGCCAGGGTGAAAAAAAGACAATTATGGTAATTAAAGTTAGTCACTCAATCTTTTTAAGATCAGATTTTTACTAAAAAGGATCCCAACGAATTACCAAACAGAAGAAATAGAGAAAAATAACGATTCTTTAATTTTACCTTCATACTAGAGAACAGATTTAGAGAAATGAAAAAGTGATAGATTACATATTTTATCAATTGATGGGGTAAGTGTGGATTTAACAACTTGTCAAAACTACATTTTTAATGGTTTTAATTTTGTTTACTACTATGAATTCACAATAGATACCATACATTAAAATAAAATATCCTAGATAAATCACGTTCTAAGATTTACAATTTAATTAACGGGAACGTTCTGTTGCCCAGGCTAGAGTAGGGTGGTGTAATCATAGCTACCTGTCACCTCAAACTCCTGGGCTCCAGCAATTCTCCTGCCTCTCCTGAGTCAGTAGGACCACAGGTGTGCACCACCATGCTTGTTTTTTTTTTTTTTCAGTGGTAGGGTCTATGTTGCCTAGGCTCATCTTGAACTTCGGGGCTCAAGCAATCCTCTCTTGTTCCTGCTGTGGCCATGTAAGATGTGCCTGGCCTCCCAAAGTGTTGGGATTACAGGCATGAGCCACCATGCCCAACCTACACAATTTTTTTTTTTTTTTTTTGAGACAGGGTCTCACTCTGTCACCCAGACTGGAGTGCAGTGGTGTGATCTGGGTTCATTATAACCTCTGCCTTTCAAGCTGAGGCCATCCTCCCACCTCAGTCCCTGAGTAGCTGGGACTACAGATGCACAACACTATGCCTGGCTAATTTTTTTTTTTTTTTTTTTTGTAGATACGGTTTCGTATTGTTGCCCAGGCTGGTCTCAAACTCCTGGCTTCAAGTACTCCTCCTATCTTAGCCTCCCAAAGTGCTAGGATTATAGGCATGAGCTGCCATAAGAGGCCTACGCAAAATTTTATCAGTGAAACAGCACTATGATTAACGAGTTAGGCCTTGTTAACTACTATGCTATAATACTAAAGCCAGTTCTTTAATGTAGCCAATCTCATCTAAAAATTTTCATAATTGTTTATAAGAGAATCCAACTAAAGAAATGTAAGGAAGTTAGGTTGGCTAACAAAATTTATTTCAAACGGGACCCTTAGTATGAAAAACTACTCTTCGGCAAATGTGACAAAGGCGTTTTTGGGCAATTTTCCATTTCTTTCCTCATTCTTATTCCAAAGCTTGATTTATTCTTTTCAAAAGGACACATAGCCCTCTGTGTCTGTGGGTTCCTCACCCCTGGCTTCAACCATGAATCAAAGATATTCATGAAAAAATCTGCATCTATACCTAACTTGTAGATTTTCTTATCATTAGTGACTAAACAACATAGTACAACTATTCACACAGCATTTACATTGTGTTAGGTATTACAAGTAATCCAGAAATTATTTAAAACATGAGAGAGGAAGTGCATAGGTGATGTGCTCGTATGATGCCATTTTATATCAGGGACTTGAGCATCCTCGCTCTTTGCTTTCTGCAGTGGTCCCGGAACCTATCTCCTCCGTGGACACCGAGGGACGACTTTCTAGCAAATAGTGACCTTTCCAAGGGTTTAATACTTTGAGAACAGGGTTAGGCACATAAGGGGTGAATATCAGGCCTCGAATTTTTACTCTGCTGTAAACTGGCCATTTCATCTTAGTTTTAAAAATTTTACTGTGGTAAAACATATGTAACATAACATTTACCATATTAACCACTTCTTTTCTTTTTTTCTGAGACAGAGTCTTACTTTGTCACCCAGGCTAGAGTGCAGTGGTGTGATCACAGCTCACTGTAGCCCTGACCTCATGGGCTCAAGTGATCCTCCCACTTCCCAAGTATCTGGGACTAGAGGCACGTACCACCATGACTGGGACTAGAGACTAGAGGCACATACCACCATGACTGGCTAACTTAAAACTTTTTTTGTGGAGATGGGGTCTCACTATGTTGCCCAAGCTGGTCTTGAACGCCTAGGTTCAAGCAATCCTCCTGCCTCGGACACCCAAAGTCATTTTAACCATTTCTAAGTGTCCCTGGAAGTGGCTTCCTCAAAAATACACATCAGCATTAATGATTTGCTCTGTCAGAATTGTCAGCACACAACGGGCTTGGGAACCCAGTGTGAATTCCTGGCCAGAGAATTTCAAATATACTTGTGAAAACTAAATATAGTTTCACCTCCCTCCTCATCACCATAAATAAGAAATCAACATTAAGAAAACACAAATCTTGACAGCAGAAACAAATAGAAAACCCAACTCATGATTTCCTAATTGCCCTTACCTCACTCAATACAGCAAATTTTGATTAATTGCTGTATTAGCCAAAATTGATTTTTGGCACTGGCAATAAATTCTGCTATGGACAAGACAAACCTACTTAAGAGCAGGTTGCTTATTCTCAAGACATTATTCTCTGAGAATGTTGGGAACCTGAGCTGTTCTTCAGATCTTAACTTCAAAAAGAATAAAAATAGACATTTTGGTAAGTAATACACATTCGCACATTAGCAATTTGATGATTTCAGATTACTAACCTGACAAAATATACCAACAACTGAAAACTCTCCTAACTTGGGAATTCAACAAGACAGGTTCATCTCACCTGGGGGTCCTGGGTCATACCCTGTCTGCCAGCAGGCATGCCATCCAGCCCAGGGTCTCCCTACACACTTGAGTTACTGCAATGAAGCACTTTATTATTTTTTATTGTTGAGACAGAGTCTCACTCCGTCGCCCAGGTTGGAGTGCAGTGGTGCATTCTTGGCTCAATGCAACCTCTGCCTCCTGGGTTCAAGTGATTCTCCTGCCTCATGCTCCTGAGTAGCTGGGATGACAGGCGTGTGCCACCACGCCAGGCTAATTTTTGTATTTTTAGCAGAGACGAGGTTTCATCATGTTGGCCAGGCTGGTCTCAAACTCCTGACCTCAAGTGATCCACCCACCTCAGCCTCCCAAAGTGCTGGGATTACCTGCATGAGCCACCGCACCCGGCCTATTCTTTTTAAAACACCCGTCGGCTTTATTTAGGTATACTTTGCATACCCTAAGTTTCACTCATTTTAAGCACAGAATGGCTTTTAATAAAATTGAAGAGTTGTAAAATGGTCACTACTCTAGAACATTCCCATCACCTGAAAGGGATCCCGTGTCCATCTGCAGTCAGTCCCATTTCCAGCCCTAGCCCCAGTCATCATTCTACTTTGTTTACAAATTTGCCTTTTCTGGACACTGCCTACCACACAGCCACACTTCCCTCCCTCAGCAGGTGCTTCTGAGCTCATCCTGTGCAGAAGCACCCACCATGTGGACGTGGCAGGCGTCACCTGTTCAGTCACCTGCTAGCGGATACCTGGATTGTTTCCTTGTGTTGACCGAGGTTCCAGGGAACTTACACCAAGTCTCTGAGTGGATGTTCGCTTTCCTTTCTCCTAGGAGTGCAGCTGCTGAGTCAATGCAGCAAGTCTGCTTAATTAAGATCATGCCAAACAGTGGCTTCCCCATTTTACATTCCCACTATCAATGTATGAGAATTCGTTTTTCCACCTTCTTGGTTACTGTTGCTTTGCAGTGTAAGTTTTGAAGTCAGAAAACACGAGCTCTCCAACTTTATTTCCTGTGTTTTCGGTGACAGCATTCTAGTGGGTGTGAAGTGGTATCTCACTGTGGTTTTAATTTGCATTTCCCTAATTAACGCTAGGTATCTTTTCACGTCCTTATTGGCCATTTGTATGTCTTCTTCTGGTGAGATATCTATTCAGATCTCTTGCCCGTGTTTATGTTGCTTGTTTCTGAGTTTTGAGTGTTTATTACATAGGCTGGGTGCAGTGGCTCACGCCTGTAATCCCAGCACTTTGGGAGGCTGAAGCGGGCAGATTACTTGAGGTAAGGAGTTCAAGACCAGCCTGGCCAACATGGCAAAACACTGTCTCTACTAAAAATACAAAAAAAATAGCCAGGTGTGGTGGTGCATGCCTGTACTTCCAGCTACTTGGGAGGCTGAGGCAGGAGAATCACTTGAACCTTGGAGGCAGAGGTGGCAGTAAGCTGAGATCAAGCTACTGCACTCCAGCCCGGGTGACAGAGCAAGACTGTCTCAAAAAAAAAAAAAAAAAAAAAGAAAAAATTTATTACATAGGTGCTTAGAAGTGCTTCATGAGATTTATAATTTGCAAATATTTTTTCCCAGACTGTGGCTTGTCTTTCTACTTAATTCTGTCTTTTGATATACAAAAGTTTTAAATTTTGTTCCAGTCCAGTTTATCAGTATTTATGTAGTATACCTTTGATGAACTCTGTGCCTAACCAAGATTATGAAAATTTACTCCTGTGTTTTCTAAAATTTTTATAATTTTTGCTCTTACATTAAGATCTATGATCCACTTGAACTAACTTAGGTATATGACGTTGAGTCAAGGTTTAATCTTTTTTCCTTTTCATGTGAATGTCCGAATTTCCCAGCATCTGTTGTTGGAAAAACTTTTCTTCATTGAATTGCTCGGGTAACTCTATTAAAAAATTATTTGACCATAAATATAAGGGTTTATTTCTGGACTCTCAATTCTGTTTCTCATATATATAATCACTCTATCTCAATGCCAGTACATTGTTCTGGTTATTGCAGCTTTGCAATATTTTTGAAATCAGGAATGAGAAGTTCTGAATTCTCCAATTTTGTTAACCTATTTTAAAACTGCTTTCACTATTGTGGGTCCTTTATATTTACTTCAGGATATTATCAATTTCTGCCCCAAAAAACCCCCAAAAAATAGCCTGCCAAGATTTTGGTAGGAATTACATTGAACCTATAAAGCAATGTGGGGAGAACTACCATTTTAATAATATTGAATCTTCCAATACATGAATACAGGCTATCTGACACAATTTTTAAAAACAGGTGTAATCTTAAAAAATATTTTGAAACAATACCATTATACTCATATGTCTCAGATAAACAATCCTCTATGACAGAAGAAAGCTTTAGGATGAGGACACAAATTATTTGTGTTACTTAACTTTCAAACAATCACAAAGTTATAGAAAATGTACAAGTACGTTTAAAATAATTCTCTCTCCTTGGATTATCTAATGGTGAATCACTGACCTGATGCGTAATCCCAGACACTTCAGGGGGGATTTCCAACAAACAAGTCTATTTTCCTCCATAAACACCTAAGCCATCAAAATCAGAAAACCAACGCATTCCTCCTGTCCCAGCTCAGACCCTGTTCAAGTTTCTCTAGCCATCCCCAATTACCCAGTTTGCACAGGCACACTGCAAGAAAGTGGTCGGCTCTCAGCTTCCCGCTGCCCAGAGCGAGTTTCTGGATGTTTCCGTGACTCTCACGACACCAGGCTTTGGGAAGATTCTAGGCAGGTGCATTGTCCAATCAGTCCCCTAACTTGGGGGCTGGTGCTTCCACATGGGGAGATCCAGGACAGGCATCTTCGGCAGGAGTATCGCGGATGCGGCTCTCTTCATCCCACCCGCTGTGTGCTACAGGCTTCACCATCACTGAGGTTTGCCTGGACCAGCTGGTTCAGGCTTTTCCACCATGAAGACTCTCTTTCCTTTAACTATTTCGTGGATGGCTACTATAGAAATCCTCACTTCTCATCAAGCTTTCCATTTGTTCATCTGTGTATCTGAATAGTTGGAAAATTTCCTATTTTACTCAAAGTGTTACAACCTGTTGCAATCTTTATTCTTGAGACAGGGTCTCGCTCTGTCACCCAGGCTTGAGTGCAGTGGCGTGATCTCAGCTTACTGCAACCTCAACCACCCAGGCTCAAGTGATCCTCCACCTCAGCCTCCCAAGTAGTTGGGACCACAGGCGCACACCACTACACCCGGCTAACTAAAAAAAAAATGTTTTTGTAGGCTAGGTGTGGTGGTTCATGCCTATAATTCCAACACTTTGGGAGGCTGAGGTGGGAGGATAGCTTGAGCCCAGGAGTTCAAAACCAGCCTGGGCAACATGGCAAGACGCCATCTCTAAAAAAAAATTTAAAAATCAGCATCCCTGAGGTCCCAGGATAGCGATGCTTTGGTCAAGGATGGGTCCGTGTACAATGGTGGTCTCATGAGCCTGTAACGAAGCTGAAAAATTTCTACTGCCTAGAGATGCTGAAGCACACCACGTTACTTGTGTTGGTGGTGGTAACTGGTCTAAACAAACCTGTGCTGCCAGTCATATAAAAGCACAGCACATACAATCATGTCTTCAGTTCTGTTTACACGATGAATCACATTTTTTTATTTGCATATGATACCTAGCATCTTAGAGATGAAGCCTACTTGGGCACGGTGGATTAGGTTTTTGATGAGCATATACAATTATGTACACAACTTAATACTTTAACCATGATGACAAACAACTGTTACTGGTTTATGAATTTACTGTACTTTGTTATTTTACAGCATCCTCCTACTTATAAAAAAGAAAGTAAATTGTAAAACAGCCTCAGTGGGTCCTTCAGGAGGGTCTTCCAGGAGAAGGTATTGTTATCCTAGGAGATCATGGCTCCGTCTGCGTCCTGTCCCTGAAGGCCCTCCAGTGGGACAAGAGGTGGAGGGGAAAACAGTGACACTGAACACCCTGGCCCTGTGGAGGCCTAGGCAGCTGTGTGTGTGTGTGTTGTGGAGGCCTAGACTGGTGTGTGTGCGCGTGTTGTGGAGGCCTAGGCAGGTGTGTGTGTGTGTGTGTGTGTGTGTTGTGGAGGCCTAGACTGGTGTGTGCGCGTGTGTGTGTGTTGTGGAGGCCTAGGCAGCTGTGTGTGTGTGTGTTGTGGAGGCCTAGGCAGCTGTGTGTGTGTGTGTGTGTGTTGTGGAGGCCTAGACTGGTGTGTGTGTGTGTGTGTGTGTGTTGTGGAGGCCTAGACTGGTGTGTGTGTGCGTGTGTGTGTTGTGGAGGCCTAGGCAGCTGTGTGTGTGTGTGTGTTGTGGAGGCCTAGGCTGATGTGTGCATGCGTGTGGTGGAGGCCTAGGCAGCTGTCTGTGTGTGCAAGTGTGTGTGGTGGAGGCCTAGGCCGGTGTGTGTGTGTTGTGGAGGCCTAGGCTGATGTGTGTGTGTGTTCTGTGGAGGCCTAGGCAGCTGTGTGTGTGTGTGCACGTGTGTTGTGGAGGCCTAGGCAGGTGTGTGCGCGCGTGTGTGTTGTGGAGGCCTAGGCAGCTGTGTGTGTGTCGTGGAGGCCTACGTAGCTGTGTGTGTGTGTTGTGGAGGCCTAGGCTGATTGTGTGTGCGTGTGTGTTGTGGAGGCCTAAGCTGATGTGTATGTGTGTGCTGTGGAGGCCTAGACAGTCTGTGTGTGTGTGCGTGCGTGTGTGTTGTAGAGGCCTAGGAAGCTGTGTGTGTGCTGTGGAGGCCTAGGCTGATGTGTGTGTGTGTGTTCTGTGGAGGCCTAGGCAGCTGTGTGTGTGTGCGCACGTGTGTTGTGGAGGCGTAGGCCGGTGTGTGTACGCGTGTGTGTTGTGGAGGCCTAGGCAGCTGTGTGTGTGTTGTGGAGGCCTAGGCTGATGTGTGTGTGTGTTGTGGAGGACTAGGCTGATGTGTGTGTGTGTTCTGTGAAGGCCTAGGCAGCTGTGTGTGTGCACGTGTGTCGTGGAGGCCTACGCAGCTGTGTGTGTGTGTTGTGGAGGCCTAGGTTGATGTGTGTGCACGTGTGTTGTAGAGGCCTAGGAAGCTGTGTGTGTGTGTTGTGGAGGCCTAGGCTGATGTGTATGTGTGTGCTGTGGAGGCCTAGACAGTCGTGTGTGTGTGTGCGTGTGTGTGTGTTGTAGAGGCCTAGGAAGCTGTGTGTGTGCTGTGGAGGCCTAGGCTGATGTGTATGCGTGTATATATTAGTTTTTAACAAAAGCTTCAAATGTTTTTTAAAATTTAATAGAAAGCAGCTTATAAAGGAGATAAATTATTTTTGTATAGTTGTATAATGTGTTTGTGTTATAAGCTAAGTGTTTTTATAGATGAGTCAAAAATGTTACAAATTAAAACGTTAAGGTTAAAAAGTTACAGTAAGCGAAGGTTAATTTATTACTGAAGAACTAAAAATATTTTTGACAAACTTGGCGTAGCCAAAGTGTCTGGTATTTACAGAGGCCACAATAGTGTGCAGTCGTGTCCTGGCCTCACGTTCAGGTGCCGCTTACTCACCAACTCGCCAACTCACCTGGGCAACCTCCACTCCTGCCAGCTCCAGTCATGGGAAATGCCCTACACAGTTTTTTTTTTTTTTTCCCACCTTCTATACCATCTTTTTACTGTACCTTTTCTGTGTTTAAATATGTCTCGACACACGACCACTTACCATCACGTTACCGCTGCCCACAGCATTCAGTGCACTAACACGCTGCACAGGACTGCGGACTGGGTGTGTCAGGCTGTACCAGCCAAGTCTGTGCAAGCAAACTCCATGTTTACATAATGAAATCGCCCATTTGGAACGTACCCCCATGACTAACGCCTGGCCGCACTGATTTCTAATTCCCCACACGGAGCCGATCTCCCTCGGCTGCTGCCGATTCTTAGAACAAGCTCTGACTCCCCCACGCTGCACCCTGCCTGGCTGGCACTGCCCACGCCACCTGCACGCTGCACCCTGCCTGGCTCCCACAGCCCACGCCACCTGCACGCTGCACGCTGCACCCTGCCTGGCTCCCACAGCCCACCCCACCTGCACCCTGCACCCTGCCTGGCTCCCACAGCCCACGCCACCTGCACCCTGCACCCTGCCTGGCTCCCACAATGCACCCTGCCTGGCTCCCACAGCCCACGCCAGGACACCCCTCTGTGGACTCCCCTCCTCCGACGTGGGCTTGGGCACCCTGCGCGGCTGCCCCCACCAAGACACACTCCCCACCCTGCTACACTCTTAGGAGCACAGCCTGAGGTCGAGGCGTCCTCAAATTTACACCCCCAGGGCCTCTTCTGCCTGATTCTCTTCCCAGACCTGCTGAACTGCATGGGAAAGGGAAGTCATTATTATTTTTAACTTATGTATTAGTCATTGTGGATCTAGGACCCAAGTGCTTTTTTTGTTTTTTAAAAGCAAGTCCATTGGGATCTGTTTCTATAGAGATTTTTTTCTTTTTTAATGGGAAGATTCATGGCTATATTTATTTTGACTGTTGCAAGGGCAATCAACAGAATACTGTGATCTTGTGACTTCTGAGTTAGTAACATTTTGCAGGAAAGATGCTTGTCAAATTTCATCGCAACCTGGACAAACCCTTAAAGAGTGTATTGTTATTGTGGGTTCACACGGAGAACTTACTTTCCCTGCAACAAACATCTTCTCTCTGGTTTCCATGGGGAGCCAGGCTTGGTAAGCCTGCAGGCAGGAGGCTTCCATCGGCTGGCTTCAGTTTTACTGGTATACTTTGCCAAATGAAATACGGTCACCCTACAAGGGCCGTTGTTCAGAACAGACCTCTGCCGTTCAGCTTGGCGCATATACCTGAGGCCATGTTCTGAGCGATTTTCCAAGAAAAAAAAATTTACTCACAATGTTATGGCATTTTGGATTGAGGCAAAAATCATTAAATATTTCATTTATTCAGTTTTATCTGCTTTCTCAAAAAGCTGAATTGTCCTAATTAGAATATCGGTATTTTTCAAAAATACAGAATTACATTTTAATACAACTTAATACTATTAAATATTAGTCACACATTAAAAATATTTGTTCCAGAAGAGTGTTGACAGGAGAAAAAAATCTGACTGGGTGCGGTGGCGCACGAGGGCGAGGCGGGCAGATCACTTGAGGTCAGGAGTTCAAGACCAGCCTGGCCAACATGGTGAAACCTTGTCTCTACTAAAAATACAAAAATTAGCAGGGCGTGGTGGCAGGCACCTCTAATCCCAGCTACTCGGGAGGCTGAGACATGAGAATCGCTGGAACCCAGGAGGCAGAGGTTGCAGTGAGCTGAGATTGTGGCACTGCACTTCAGCCTGGGTGACAGAGCAAGACTGTCTCAAAAAAAAAAAAAGATAAAAGATCCACTATAAATTTTGAGAAAATCATAACCAATTTCATACTGTAGCGTCTCAGTTTTATAAATATATTAACATATATTTATTCATAAAATGTGTAAAGAAGATTTATGAGTGAAATTATTTTTATGTTTGTGTTAGCTTTAAAATACCCATTTAAAAAAAAAGGGGGGAAAGCAGGCGGATAATACAAAACTGCTAAAATGCTGAAATGTGAAGCTGGATGATGGTCACGGGTGTTTATTACTGGACATGCTCTATGCTTACTTGCTTGAAAACGCTCCATTAGAAAATGAACTCTGAAAACTATATGCCCAATGCTAATAGTGGGTATTTATTGGTAACACTCTTTATCAGGTGCTATGATTGTTGATGGCTTTATTTTCTTCTTCATATTTTCTATAATTTCTACAATGAACATGTATGTATAATCAGACAAAAAAGCCAAGAAACATCCATAAGTTTTTCTGGTCATTCATTCATCCCATAAATACTTGCTGAGCACCTGCTGTAAGCCAGGCTCCGAGCCGGCTGCTGGGTAGAGTGCCGCACCCCAGGGAACGCTCAGCCCTCGTGGACTCACCTCTGGGCTTGCCCAGCCTAAGCCCCGCAGTAACAGCTGGGGTGAAGCCTGAGGGAGGTGACAGCCTGCAATGCCTGCTGGCCCAGCGAGAACCCAGGCCCAGCACCATCGCCAGGTTTTACAGGCATAAGAACCAAGCCTGGAGCCTGGGAGTCTTCTGATTGTCAGAAATAAAGGTCCGCAACAGACGGCTCTCCAAAATGCTCCTTCCCTGCTGCAGAAAGTCAAAGTCACCCCAGGTGCTGCTTTCCCCGAGAGCCAAGTCCACCAGGAGAAGTAGAGGGACACGGGTAAGCCCCAGGCCTCCTCTGGCAGGAGTGGGGGTGTGGGGGCAGTGCTTAGGTTGCCTGGCTGGGTCTAAGGTCTGGAGAGGAAGGTGCATGATTTTTTTTAATGTAAAGATATAGAGAGGCATCTTACCTGCAGAGGCACCAGAGGACAAATCCCAGTCCACAGTAAGGGTCCAGGCAGATGGCCACTTCTCTAGAGGGGTAAAGTTCACACTGCAGCTTAATGGAACGGCAGAAGGCACTGGTGGCTGCGTGAGACATCTGCAAAATACAAGGCTGTGTTAAACGCATCGGACCTGACACCCTCAGACACCCGGGACAATACGGGGCTGCAGGGAACGCAAGGCTGTGTTGAACGCATCGGACCTGACACCCTCAGACACCCGGGACAATACGGGGCTGCACTGAACGCAAGGCTGTTTTGAACGCATCGGACCTGACACCCTCAGAAACCCGGGACAATACGGGGCTGCACTGAACGCAAGGCTGTGTTGAACGCATCGGGCCTGACACCCTCAGACACCCGGGACAATACGGGGCTGCACTGAATGCATGGGACTTCATACCCAAGGATACCTACAAGACAATAAAGCCGCATTAAATGCGTGGGGCCTGACACCCAAAGACATCTTTAAGACAATAAGGCCAAATGAAATGTATGCTGGCCTGGTGCAGTGGCTCATACCTGTAATCAAAACACTTCAGGAGGCCAAGGTGGGATGGTCACTTGAGCCCAGGAGTTCCCGGCTGCAGTGAGCTATGATTACCACTGCACTCCAGCCTGGACAACGGAGTGAGACCCTGTCTCTTCAATAAATTTTAGAGAACAAAACCCAAAAGAACAACAAATGCACGATACCTGGCCCCAAAGGCCCAAAGCTGTTTTTAGGACTGGCGACAACTGTCACCAAGCTGGGCTATGTTGTGTCTGGGGAATGTGAGTGGCTGATATTTTCACTGGAGTTCTCATTTTCAATGAGTAAACCTCACTCAGAACTGTTGGTCCTCCAGGACCTAGCAACTCTAGCTATTGAAATAGTGCGTTTGAACAGCAAGTCATGGAGGAAGGGGTTCTCGTGTAACCCACTCTCTCTCTTTTTTTTTTTTTGAGATGGAGTCTTGCCCTGTCGCCCAGGCTGGAGTGCAGTGGTGCGATCTCCGCTCACTGCAAACTCCGCCTCCCAGGTTCACACCATTCTCCTGCCTCAGCCTCCCAAGGAGCTGGGGTTACAGGCGCCCGCCACCACGCCCGGCTAATTTTTTGTATTTTTAGTAGAGACAGGGTTTCCCCATGTTAGGCAGGATGGTCTCGATCTCCTGACCTCGTGATCCACCCGCCTCGGCCTCCCAAAGTGCTGGGATTACAGGCACGAGACACCGCGCCTGGCCTCGTGTGACCCTCTCTCTAACACACCGTCCCACAGGTAGGGGAGGCACCACGGTGCATTCCTCTGCTGGTCGAGGCCCTGTCTTATTCACGGCTATCTCCACGGCTGGACATAGCCTCTGCTGTGCAGCATGTGGCCAGCAAGACCTGCTGGGTGGCTCAGCTGTCTTAATGATCAGAAAGTGAAGGCTCACAGAAGTTAAAGATTTTGCTGCCTGTGACATAAGTTAGAGCTAGGAGTTAGAGCCCAGGTCCTCCTACACTCCAGGGCCCTTCACTATCTTCCACCATCCTGCATGGAGATGGTGGCTAAAATCCAATCATCCCATCATGACCAGACAGTGAAGAGCTTCCGCATCTTCCTCTTCCCTAATCCCTGTAATAGTCCCCCTACAGTCTGTGTGTAATGTCAATTATTTTGAAATACAATAAAATATATTAATAAGATCAATTTTCTCACAGAAGCTTTCTAGCCAAACAAACCTCAGAGGAAAAAGGAAGTCAAAGCAGCATACAAAATGGTCTGATTTTTGCGGTTTTAAAACACGTCACGGCTGGGCAAGGTGGCTCACGCCTGTGATCCCAGCACTTTGGGAGGCCGAGGCGGGCAGATCACAAGGTCAGGAGATCGAGAACATCCTGGCTAACACAGTGAAACCCCATCTCTACTAAACATACAAAAAATTAGCTAGGGGTGGTGGCGCATGCCTGTAGTCCCAGCTACTCAGGAGGCTGAGGCAGGAGAATCGCTTGAACCAAGAGGGCGGAGGTTGCAGTGAGCTGAGATCGCACCACTGCACTCCAGCCTGGGCAACAGAGCAAGACTCCATCTCAAACAAAAAAACATGTCACAAGTTGATCTGAAGTAGAATGTCACCAGAGCTAAACTGTAAAGGGACCAGCACAGAGCCTTGTAATAACTGGGGAAATCCAAATGCCTGGCTCCCCATCATTCATTCATCACTCCAGCAAGAGGTGAGAGAACTTGGAGGTGGGAGTCCTCCCACTGTAAAACGTTCCATCACTATTGGAAGTTCTGCCTGGGAGAAGGTTTCGTAACTGTTTTACTATATTCATACAGGGGAACGTAGAATTATTATAAAATGTAAAATGTAAATAATTCTTTTTAGCTTGCTTTTAAGGCAAATTTTTGTTTAAAGGAGAAATGAGACTGAATTTATACAACATCCATCCAGACTCCTGCCTCCCTGGATTAGGAGTTAGTCAAACCCTGCCTCCTAAAATTACCCACCCACTCAGATCAGCAACTAGAGCAAGCCTGCCCTGAACTGCTGCTCTGTGCAAAGCACTATTTCTAGGTGGAGAATTCAGTTCTTCAGCTTAGCAAATACTAAATACCGAGAGCTTGTGATCAGACACTGTGTTAAGCGCTGGAGATGAACCGAAGAGTAAGACACAGCCCTGCCCTCAGGATCCAGTGGGAATTCACAGACGAGGGCATGGACAACCGTGTATGGGGTGTAAGAGAGGCTGCTCCCAACACCCTGGCTGTGGGTCACAAAGCCAGCGGGGCCTTTGCGGGACTTCAGCAGAGAAACAGGAATTGACACCACTTAAAGAAAAGCAGCCAGGAACGTTCTGATGGTCTACTCTACGTCAGACGCTGAGACTATAAGCGGGCCATGAAACGGTATGACTGGAAGCAGCTGCTTCTCTTCTGGCTATGACAGTGGGAGGGTCACAGCTAACTTCAGACCACAGTAAGTAAATCATCTTGATCTGAAAACATTTCTTTTCAAAAGCTTTTGAAAAATTATTTTATTTCATATTGTAGCTACTTTGGTATTCCACCTCAGTTCTACTAAGAGGTGGACAGAGCGTGAGAACTGTGCGAGGTAAAGCCAGCTCACCCGTCAGACCCACAGATGGGGGCAGACGGCACACAAGGCTGCGAAGTCCCCAAGGGTGGGGCGGGGGCGGGGCGGGGGGGGGTTTGCACGGCACCTCGGCAAGGGCGGCATCTGAGCTGAGAGGGTCATGATGATTTCTAATAGAGCCCAGGTTAAAACGCTAGAAAGTGCAGTGTGCAGAAATTTATCACAGAGCGTTCGGATTTGAGAACCAGCAAGAGAAAAACATTCGCAGTGTTCTACTGTCAGCTGAGACAGTGTTCACATAAAAACATACTTGGGGCATTTGGACAGAATCAGTCAGCCTGGTTAAGGATGGAAATGGTCATACGTGTCATACCGTGAATGAAACACGTATGTATACCTCTTTCCACATCTCAGTCTGACTACACGAGAGGCGCTGAGAGCCAGCACGTGACCTGCCACCTCCAGCACGCTCCGCAGTTGCCTCCATGGCCACCGCCCGCAGCCACCCCCCTCACCTTTACGCCAGCTAGCATCCCAGTTGTGGACACGCTGAAGTCGAGATATGCAAGAGTGTCTGGGTTGCAAGGTTTGCAGATCTGGGCAGGCCGCTTCTTTGGCAAATCATCTGGAGAGGAACATGACTATCAGCAGATCCAGCCTGAGCAAGGCCGTGAGCAAACCACCTTCTGCAGCTAAAGCACCAACCTGTGTCCAGGATGAGGGGCCACGTCCTGACGTCCACAGCCGCCGCCGCCTCCCTGGACCGCAGCAACTTACAGATCAGCTGTGTCGTCATCAGACAGGCAGAGCGACTCACCTGGCATCAGAGAGCGAGAATGGAGCCATGAACGTGGACCCAGATGAAAGCGTGCTCACTTCACACGGGTCTCCTGCTTACTACATACACTAAAACCATGTAGCTTTAACGGGCAGATGAGGTTACCGAGCCCTCCTGCTGGCTAAGGTAGGACAGAGCTAGGAGTCTAGTTGTGGAGGCACGGGGGCAGGGCATGCGGCCTGAAGCTGCTGCATCTGCACTTCCTGGGCCCAGTGCATCCACAGCGTTGTGACATGTGCAGAAAAGAGCTCACTGCTCACACCATTAGATCTGTTCTCCTGGAAACCCCACACACACACACCCAGACACATCGCGCACAGTTCTCCCGGAAACGTCACACACACCCAGGCACATCGCGCACAGTTCTCCCGGAAACCCCACAAACACCCATCCCAGACACACCGCGCATAGTTCTCCCGGAAACCCCCCACACCCCCAACCCAGACACACTGCGCATAGTTCTCCCGGAAACCCCACACTCACCCAACCCAGACACATCGCGCATAGTTCTCCCGGGAACCCTACATACACCCAACCCAGACACATCACGTATAGTTCTCCCGGAAACGTCACACTCACCCAGACACACCGCGCATAGTTCTCCCGGAAACCCCACACTCACCCAACCCAGACACATCGCGCATAGTTCTCCCGGGAACCCTACATACACCCAACCCAGACACATCACGTATAGTTCTCCCGGAAACGTCACACTCACCCAGACACACCGCGCATAGTTCTCCCGGAAACCCCACACTCACCCAACCCAGACACATCGCGCATAGTTCTCCCGGGAACCCTACATACACCCAACCCAGACACATCACGTATAGTTCTCCCGGAAACGTCACACTCACCCAGACACACCACGCATAGTTCTCCCGGAAACCCCACACTCACCCAACCCAGACACATCGCGCATAGTTCTCCCGGGAACCCTACATACACCCAACCCAGACACATCACGTATAGTTCTCCCGGAAACGTCACACTCACCCAGACACACCGCGCATAGTTCTCCCAGGAACCCCACACTCACCCAACCCAGACACACCGCGCATAGTTCTCCCGGGAACCCCACACTCACCCAACCCAGACATATCGCGTATAGTTCTCCTGGAAACGTCACACACACCCAACCCAGACACATCGCGCATAGTTCTCCCGGAAACGTCACACACACCCAGACACATCGCGCATAGTTCTCCCGGAAACCCCACACTCACCCAACCCAGACATATCGCGTATAGTTCTCCCGGAAACGTCACACACACCCAACCCAGACATATCGCGTATAGTTCTCCCGGAAACGTCACACACACCCAACCCAGACACATCGCGCATAGTTCTCCCGGAAACCCCACACGCACCCAGACACATCGCGCATAGTTCTCCCGGAAACCCCACACTCACCCAACCCAGACACATCGCGCATAGTTCTCCTGGAAACCCCACACTCACCCAACCCAGACACACCGCGCATAGTTCTCCCGGGAACCCCACACTCACCCAACCCAGACATATCGCGTATAGTTCTCCCGGAAACGTCACACACACCCAACCCAGACACACCGCGCATAGTTCTCCCGGAAACGTCACACACACCCAGACACATCACGCATAGTTCTCCCGGAAACGTCACACGCACCCGGACACATCGCGCGTAGTTCTCCCGGAAACGTCACACGCACCCGGACACATCGCGCGTAGTTCTCCCGGAAACGTCACACGCACCCAGACACATCACGCGTAGTTCTCCCGGAAACGTCACACGCACCCGGACACATCGCGCGTAGTTCTCCCGGAAACGTCACACGCACCCGGACACATCGCGCGTAGTTCTCCCGGAAACGTCACACGCACCCGGACACATCGCGCGTAGTTCTCCCGGAAACGTCACACGCACCCGGACACATCGCGCATAGTTCTCCCGGAAACCCCACACTCACCCGGACACATCGCGCATAGTTCTCCCGGAAACCCCACACTCACCCGGACACATCGCGCATAGTTCTCCCGGAAACCCCACACTCACCCGGACACATCGCGCATAGTTCTCCCGGAAACCCCACACGCACCCAACCCAGACACATCGTGCATAGTTCTCCCGGAAACCCCACACGCACCCAACCCAGACACATCACGCATAGTTCTCCCGGGAACCCCACACTCACCCAACCCAGACATATCGCGTATAGTTCTCCCGGAAACGTCACACACACCCAACCCAGACACATCGCGCATAGTTCTCCCGGAAACGTCACACGCACCCGGACACATCGCGCATAGTTCTCCCGGAAACGTCACACGCACCCAGACACATCGCGCATAGTTCTCCCGGAAACCCCACACTCACCCGGACACATTGCGCATAGTTCTCCCGGAAACCCCACACGCACCCAACCCAGACACATCGCGCATAGCTCTCCCGGAAACCCCACACGCACCCAGACACATCGCGCATAGTTCTCCCGGAAACCCTACATACACCCAACCCAGACACATCGCGCATAGTTCTCCCGGAAACCCCACACTCACCCAGACACATCGCGCATAGCTCTCCCGGAAACCCCACACGCACCCAACCCAGACACATCGCGCATAGTTCTCCCGGAAACCCTACATACACCCAACCCAGACACATCGCGCATAGTTCTCCCGGAAACCCCACACTCACCCAGACACATCGCGCATAGCTCTCCTGGAAACCCCACACGCACCCAGACGCGTCGCGCATAGCTCTCCCGGAAACCCCACACGCACCCAGACGCGTCGCGCATAGCTCTCCCGGAAACCCCACACTCACCCAGACGCGTCGCGCATAGCTCTCCTGGAAACGTCACACACACCCAGATGCGTCGCGCATAGCTCTCCCGGAAACCCCAGACGCGTCGCGCATAGCTCTCCTGGAAACCCCACACGCACCCAGACGCGTCGCCACACTTTCTAGGAGTGGCCACTGTGCAGGTCTCCAGGACCATGCCAAAAGGGACTCAGGTGTGGGTAGGACAGGTGCATTCTCTGCCCACACTGTTCTCCCCTGTACTTCCTCCTTCAACGAGGAAAATATAGCTGAATCCTCTCAAACTCCTCCAGCTGTAGACGAAGGAAAACAGATCTATACTTTCAAAAAGGAGCAGGAAACTTCCACATCTTGAGGAGAGGGCTTTGGAAAAAGCCCTGCCTCTTCCCGTGGTCGGTCTGCTCAGCTGGGTTCGTGAGGAAGCCCGAGGAATGGTGGTGATGCCCTCTCTTGGGAGCCGTTTTCTCCAGGGAAGACCCTGCAGAGGCTACCATCCAGCCTCTGCCTCCACACACGTTTACATCTCGCTTCTAGACCTAGACTCTAGGCTCCCTGCAGGTAGAGACCCTGTCCTGACCGTTTGACTCCAGACACACCCCGGCTTCCACAGCCAGCAGCTGCCCCAAGAGATGTCAGAGTCTGCGCGTTGCAAGCTCCACACTCAGCTCCAGGCAGGTGGAGGCCCCGACATTCCCAGGCATGTTACCTCCACAATCATCTTGACGGTAGGCAACGTCGTCGCGATGTTCTGTGGGTGCGGGGGACGGACGGTTATTGGCACACAGCCTGCGTACAGGCAACCATAAAACGCTGCTATCAGGTCTATTCCTACACAAGGAGAGAAACATCATCATTGAAGCAGACCACGCTGCTGAGTGCACACTCTCCCTGTCAGCATCAATGCTTGTCTGGGGCAAGTTCAACAGGGAAACGAGCAGCTGAGCTTCTCACAGCCTCCGTCATCCTGGCGGGTTTTGTCAGCTTTGGCGGTCACTGTCATTTACCTGTCCTTTCAGACATGAGGTGACGAGGCAGCCTGGAGGTTTAATGTCTACATCATTTTGCTAAGGAATTACCCACCTTTGTAACTGTGAATTTAGTCAAGATTTAGGTACTATTAAGTGAATTACCTGAGGTATCTAATAACACAAATTTGGATATAAAAGTCATTGAAAGCATCACTTTATTGACGCCTCTCACAGTAGCACATGCGGCTGGTGCCTGTGAGTGGTCGTAGCCAGACACAAACGGGCTGGTTAGCATCCAGCTGGATACAGTGCAGACTCCCAGCCATGACGCGACCCTCGGCTCAGGCACCAGCGGGTGTAAGGGACCTCCTCGCACCGCGGCTGACCGGCTTGCCATCTCTCAGGGGAAGCCCACCCTGCGCCTGTACCTGGGGGGTAGACCAAGGCCACGTGGTCGCCGTCCTGAAGGTGGCCCCTCTCCATCAGCATCACGGCGATCTTCTCAGCTCTCTTGTGCAGCTGCACGCAGGTCAGCGAGTTCGCTATCGCACCCTGCGGGCCGATCACAGGGACAAGCACATAAGATTCCTTCAGCAGAGCAGCTTGCAGAGAGCGCGCACGCGTCATACAACTCACTGGCGCAAAGCATACATCACTGGTTTTTAGAACAAGCACAGACCTGTGCAACCAACATGACAGTCAATTTTAGAACGTTTTTAGCCTCCCCCAAAACTACATATACGTTAGAGGTCAACTCCATTTTCTTCCAACTAGGTAAGCAGTGCAGACCAAAGAAACATCTAGATATATTTAGAGTAACAAGCAATATTTTAAAAAATGATTACGTGAATTAAAAAACGGTAGAACAAAAAACCCTGGCAATTCTGGGACTTGTGTCATTGTCGTGGGCAGTGGGAATTCCTAGTACACCTGCACATCGGAAGACTAATTAAAAAATTTTATTTAGAAAGACCACATCAAAAATCAAGGAAGTCAGAAAGCAAAAAACAAAAGCAAAATAAACAAACACACCCTACAGGAATGAAAAGAACTATCAAACGCATTTTCACATAGACTTTAATGTACAAACAAATAGAAAACATATTTGTGCAGGAAAATACCTTACACGAGGGTTGTGAGGGAAGGTGAGTTGCAAGATATATACCAAGAAACATCGCAAGAGTGTGGGATTCGCTGTTTTTTGAGACAGGGTCTCTGTCTCCCAGGCTGGAGTGCAGTGGCATGATCACTGCTCACTGCAGCCTGGACCTGCTGGGCTCAAGCAATTCTGCTGCCTCAGCCCCAAGTAGCTGGGACTACAGGTGCCACCATCATGACTGGCTAATTTTAAAAAAAAATTCTCTCATAGAGATGGGGTCTCCCTACATTGCCCAAGCTGGTCTCAAACTCGTGGCCTCAAGTGATCTTCCCATCTTGGCCTATTTAAGCCATAAAGACAAATGTGAATAAATTACAAATTATAAGCACGTAACTAACCGAAACAAGCTTTTCCTGAGGACACACTTTACAGTCCTAGTTCCTTTGCAGCACTCTCAGATGTGAAGACGGCTTCTACAGTCATTTAACAACCTCTTCTTTGTGATCAGATTCTGTCTCACAGCTATTAACAGGGTGAGGATCTTCCCTCAAGCAGTGGGCAACTGGACTGCAGTCCATGGGGTCAGGAAGACTGCAGAGCCGAAGAGTGACTGAACACCCGGGCTCAGGAATTTTTTTTTTTTTTTTTTTTTTTTTGAGATGGGGTCTCGCTCTGTCGCCAGGCTGGAGTGCAGTGGCGCGATCTCAGCTCACGGCAACCTCCGCCTTCCGGATTCAAGCAATTCTCCCGTTCTCCTGCCTCAGCCTCCTGGGCAGCTGGGACTACAGATGCACACCAACACGCCCAACTAATTTTTGTATTTTTAGTAGAAATGGGGGTTTCACTATGTTGGCCAGGATGGTCTTGAACTCCTGACCTCATGATCCGCCCGCCTTGGCCTCCCAGAGTGCTGGGATTACAGGTGTGAGCCATCATGCCCAGCCCAGGAATTCTTATGTGAGTCACAGCTACAAAGATGAATGCATGAGTGTAGGGATGGAGCGCGCGGCGGGCCTGGCAAGGCTGTCGGGACCGGACGCTGTGATTCAGAGATTGGGGACAGAGTGCACAGCGAGCCCGAGATGGCTGTCGGGGACCAGACACTGCGATTCAGAGTGAAGGCGCAGGGAGAGAGGCCCAGAGGGGCTTGCGGGTAGCCGAGTTAGTGCAACCAAAAGGACGCCGCACGGACGAACAGTATCTGGGGCTATTCATCGGCGATGCTGGGAAAAGCACGTCAGCCTCCCAGCTCGAAGGGCCCGTGTCAGAAACACATGGCGGGGCACGGTGAGTGGAAGATAATGTCTCAGGAAGCATCAAGATGTGAACACCTGACCCTGACCTCTACCAAAACGTCCACAAGACAGCCGATGAGCGCAGCGAGGTCTGTGGGGAAAGTATACTCTCCCTGAGGACCTCTGCGCCAGGGCCAGGACCAGGGCTGCGGGGAGGCGGCCCACGTCACTGCCCGGTGGGTCTTCAGACCCTTCCTGCCGCCTGTGGCTGGTCTCCTCCATGGAGAGGATTAGCTTACATTTCTCTGAATTCAACCTTCTCATCCCACACATTTTCCTTGATTATTTCCCCACTTAGAGGACACCTAAAAAATTAGAAAACAGAAACTGATTTAAAGTAGAAGAGCCCAAGAGCAGGTGGCAGCAGAGATGGGCAGAGACAACAAGGAACGCAGGGCTGGAGTCCGGGAAATCCTGCTGAGAAGACAGATTTGGGGGCCTTTGAAACTGGACTGTTCCTCTGAGCATTTACTCTTAGAGGGGCTCCTTGCCACCTGTTCACAGCAACCAGCCCACCGGCTCCTTGCCGCCAACGTCCTCTGAGCTCTTCAAGTGAACATGGGACAGAGACACCCAGCACGGCCAGGCTGGGTGCTGATGGGACCCATTCAAGTCCACCCCGACTCCAGGGGCAGGTCTCCCAACAAGGAAAACCAGCACACCACCCATCGCTGTGAGCATGGACGCGTCTCAGAGAAGAGCCCTGGCAGAATCAGCTCAGCCCCCGCCCCGCTGAGGGAGGCCCCGACCCCCACAGTCCATTCTCATGCCAGGCCTGCCTGCAGCAGCAGTGCCCAGTCTGGTTTGTTCGGCTTGTGGAACTGTTTCTTCCCCATCTCTGGAGAGCTGAAGCTGATTTCCTATCAAACACCCGCTTTGCTGTCAGATGACAAAGCCTGTGGTTTGCCCACATTCTGGGTCCTGAGATTTGAGAGGCTCAGATGAGACACAGCCAGCAGCCAAGAGTGTCTTTGAAAATGTTTTGATTCTGGTGCACAGAAATCCCCACCTGTAGGTACTTGCAAAGCATGAGTGTAACATGCATGCTGTCCTTTATCTTTGATAACCCTGTGAAACACAATTTTCTCAATGCTGGTTGATGTCTTTCAGGGCTGACATAAAAACAAACAGCAAAGCTTCCAGGCACGCTCCACGAGGACGGTGCCCTTCTCAGGTGTTAGGTCCCAAAGCCAGCTCACAGGGTGATTTAAATTAAGTTCTTAAAAAGCCCCTTGAGATAGTGCTGTGCTGGAGACAGGCACACGATTTCACAGCCGGTCGGACATGAGCAGACACCCCTCGCTCCATGGCCAGGCAGGGCCATGGGTCACACCAGGTGGGCGCCTTTCTTGCCTGGAAAGGACGAGGTGAGTGAACACTGGACCCCACCGTTGGCTGGGAGGGACAGTCGCTCCTGGCTCACGTTGCAGGCTGGCAGTCCCAGGCACCTGCAGCGACTGAGCAGTGTCCCTTCTTCCTTGCCACCTTTCCCCACCCCGTGTGGTTGAACGGGACACAGCTACACCACACGGCAACTCCACACACGTGACACTGTTCCTCAGCCTTGCTCCCCAGGAATCCTAATGCAGCCTCTACCCCAGGAGAAATGCCAGTAACTTTTGCTTGCACTTTCCATTTTCCCATGAACTCCGTGTTAAGAATGTGATGCATTCTCGGCGAGTGTCCCATAAAGCAACAACCATTCACCGCAGGTGACAGTCGTCATTCTCTGGCATCCTCATCAACATTCACTGGGGTTTCCGTCCTGAAACCCACCAGCTAAGAAGAAGGTTCTAGGTAAAACCATTTCATCAGAGAAATGAGGGCTGGCTTTTCCCCCACAGAAGTGCTGGGAGGCAGCATGACCGGAGGGGCACACAGGGAAACACAAAGAGTCTGCCCTTGTCTAAGGACACACATTCACTGTCAGTTTCTGTAAACTTGGGACCATTTTAACGTTTCACATTAAATCAAACAACTTGGGGGAAAAAAAACCCAAGAAGAAAAAGCCAAACTAAATTTATATTTTAAAATTCTAAAGAAGGTATAAGTTAAAAAAGGTCAAAAGAGTTGGCTACAAACCCATTGGTTCAACCATTTAATTTTTTTCGAGATAGAGTCTTGCTCTGTTGCCCAGGTTGGAGTGCAGTGGCATGATCTTGGCTCACTGCAACCTCTGCTTCCCGGGTTCAAGCGACTCTCGTGCTTCCAGCCTCCCAAGTAGCTGGGATTACAGGCATGTGCCAAAACACCCAGCTATTTTTTTTTGTATTTTAGTAGAGACGGGGTTTCACCATGTTGGCCAGGCTGGTCTCAAACTCCCGACCTCAACTGATCCACCCAAAGTGCTGGGATTGCAGGCGTGAGCCATGGTGCCTGGCCTCCACCACTTTAAATGAGCTTGTGACTACACGGCCAGCAAGACCGGGCCAAATTCATCATCAGCAGAAACGTGCATCCTTGATGGAAGCAGCGGCTGGGGGGCTGGTGTACGTGCTGAACGGACACTTATGGTGTGTGGAGTGATTCATCACTGGAACGAATTTCATGTTTCTTCTTCCTTTTTAAAATCTTGCTTTTAGAAAATGCATGATTCTGTATGTGGCGTGTACTGAGTTTCCGCTGGACGGTGCTGAACAGGGAAGCTGATTTAGGTGGGGAAAGACACTATGAATGCCGTGAGGACGATGCTGCTACCTTGGTCCAGGCCCAGCATCTCTTCAGTGTGCATACGAGGCAGCAGAGGAGCGAAGGACCCATGCCTGATCTGATGCTTGGCGCAAAATAACACAAGCAATAGCTCAAGCGTGCCTGCCTCTGTGTCCAGCGAGCCTTGGAAACAGCTCACACCTCCAAGGAAAAGACATCCTCAGGCCATGCCTTCCACACAGTCCTAAGGTAAATCACTCATGGCTCTGATCCCTACATCTGGCCCCCATCGGATTTGCAGTTGATCCTAATAAAGCCCTTTTTAGAGAACCGGAATCATTTCCGGGAAATACATTTTCCCTGAAGATCCAGCATCCAGCTATGCAGGTGACCACAGGTGTTCAGGGACACTGGGCTGTCCACAGGGCCAGATAGACCAGATGCCAAGCCCAGGACCATGGCACCACCCAGCAATCTGAGGGATCTTCCCCAAATCAGGCACAGCTGGAACAGCTCTATTTTCCTCCTCCTGATGGTACATGTTGCCCATGAACGTACCCAAATCATGTCTGAATCTTTGCGTATATGGGGGTCTGCTACTTCTTGAGCTGCCCATCAATACCTCTAGATTACTGGACACATGCTTGTGCAACCCCCACACATGGGAGCAGCGTGTCAGGCAACATCAAGGCAGAGATTCAGGGAGACTGAGAGCTGACTCTGCCCCTGACTGCTTGCAGCTTGCGGAGGGGTAGCCACCTCTGTGAGGAAATTAGGGGAGGGAGGAAGCACTTTCAGCAGAAGGGATCTGGGGTGCCGAAGGAGGCTGGAGTTAGTGCTGCAGATTTAGGTCACCACGTTGGAGATGATACTGGAAATCTCTAGAGAACTGCCAAGACCACAGGGAAAGAGGAACGAGAAGTCACAGGCAGTTTACAGGAGAAACACTACTGGGAGAGGACAAAGTCAGACAAGCAGAGATGGGCAGGAAATCAAGACAGCACCCAAGGCCGGCGAACCTGGCGATCGGGTTAGCAAAGGGGGTATCATCCATATTCACAGGCTGAGGAAGGGTCCAGTGGAGAAAGATGAAAAGTGGAAGGTGGGCATTTCAGATACAGGGACCCACAGCAACTCCAGTCCTCAAGATCTCCGGCCCCCACACCTGAGCTCTCAGCGTGGGGCAGGGGCTCCGTCACAGCACCAGCGAACGAGGGCCAGAAGGTGGTGGCAGAAACGGGCCTTCCTGGTTTTAAAGCCTCTTCCTGGGAAACAGTCTTGAGCAGATACAGTGAACGACCAATGGCTGGGATCAACTCAGCATCCGTGACAACGTCAAGACGACACGCGCTTCTCTGGCAGAGGAGGAGGAGAGGTTGTTCCTATGAACTAAGCCACGTGCAGAGAATGGTCTGATAACTGAAACTCAAACCAGAGAGTCGGGGAATAATTTCGTGATGCTGCTGGCATTTCCTTTTGTCTTCAATCTGCTGCTTCGCACACTAAGATTTTGATACTCAGCAATTCTAAACAGCCATGACTTTTTGAAGAGTTGCAAGTACCTATACTTGTCAAGAAGACTTACATTTTTCTTCCATTTTTCAAGCTTTATTTCCATGGTAAAAAGTAGTAACAAGCATATTAAGATTTTTGCATTTAATTTTTCTTGTTAATAGTATTAGCTTGTTTATTTAATGCCTTACTCTTAAGTACTACGGTGGAACAATATTTGATGAGTGTAGTTTTCTCATGTAAAGTGTAAACAGGAAATTTAATTACAAAGTGGAAATGATTTTCATTCCTGAGTCTGCAATAAACATAACTTCTGGTGTATAAAAAAGTGGTTTAGGGCTCGGTGTGGTGACTCACGCCTGTAATCCCAGCACTTTGGGAGGCCAAGGCAGGTGGATCACTCAAGGCCAGGAATTCAAGACCATCCTCGCCAACATGGTGAAACCCCATCTCTAAATACTAAAAATACAAAAATTAGCCAGATGTGGTGGTGGGCACTTGTAGTCCCAGCTACCCGGAGGCTGATGCACGAGAATTGCTTCAACCAGGGAGGTGGAGGTTGCAGTGAGCGGAGATCGTGCCACTGAACTCTAGCCTGGGCAACAGAGCGAGACTGCCTCAAAACACAAAACAAAACAAAAACTAGTTTAGTAATCAAAATAAAAATGCAAATATCTCATAGACTTACGATTTCTCTCTTGCAGATATCATTACTCATTTTGGGGGAGAAATATTGTAAATAGGTTGCTAAAATATCTGTACACACAAATAGGTGTAAATAACTGCACAAATGGTTACGTTTAAAAACAATCCCTAGGTACAAAAGTCTCAGTCAAAATAGCAAAACATAAAAAGAATTCCCATAAGACTGAAGCAAAAGGATTCAAAGAAAGAAGCAGGAGCGCTCCCAGGAACCAGGCTAGGCCCCTTGAGGCCAGTAGCCAGGGAAGGCCAGCTCCGCGCCTCACCCGACAGTTGAGCAGCGTGTAGAGGATGTGGTCCGGGGTGGTCTGTGCTCTCCACTGCAAGACCTCTGAGAGGAACAGGAACTGGAACAGAGCACGGGCATGAGGATCAGGCTGTGCGGTTGGATCAGGCTGTGCGGGCTGAGGTGGGGCAACCTGGATACTCAAACCCATAGAGGCTGAGTGCTTTGGGTCTTAAAACCGCATGCTTCTCTGCAGGGAGTTGAAGACATGCATGCTGGGAAAATCCCCGTCACACACGACCACAGGACAAGCAAGTGCCCACAGCTTTGTTCCTGCAGGGACTTAGGTTCACAGCACCCGAGTCAGGGTCACAAAGCAAAGGGCTGGTGCTGCACCCTGGTGTGAGAAGTTTTCTGAAAGTCTGCCCAAGGATGGGAACCATTTCCCTCATAGGCAGGAGCAGCCTGCACAGAAATCCCTTCTCCTGGGGCTTCCAGAAGATGCAAAGCGGATTTTGGTGGCTACAGTGAGAGAATCAGATCTATCTGGTTTTAAAAAGCGGGATCTAATAAATTTAGGTTTCTAGAATGGCAATACCCTGATGGCATGAAGCCACAAATTAAACAAACCACATGTGTGCTACTGAGCTGGTCCACAGTAAAAGGGGCAGCCTTATTTCACATCAGGGTACAGAAAAACCCACAGATAAGGTTTCATCCGTTTCATCAACATTTCACGGTGCTGATTTTGCCCCATTTCCTAATGGGCCACACACAAGGGCACACTTTTGGCTGTGGGAAACAGGAAGGCCGAACGGTTCTAATGGGGACCGTGGACGCACACGGCACAATGTGCAAAGTCTGGGCCTCGGGAGTTTCTCCCACGGCTTCTAACGCCACTGTTAGGAGGCCTGGCCCCCTAACCTGGGTTTTGAACTGCTTCTTAGAGTCCACAGAGCACAGGACAGAAGCCTTGCTGCAAGCTGCTGTGGGCAGGGTGGGCTTTGAATCCGGGCTGGTGGGGAAACTAGAAAGGAGTAGTTCAGGGGACCGTGCGCGGGACAAGGACTGCCAGACATTTGCCTCGGTCCTGCGAGTCGTGGGACTGGACACCCCTCACCGATTTCTGCATCGCTGTGACATTTTCTGAAACTTTGTATCTCCTATAAACACATTTTTCTTATGAAATTATATGGTCTCTTGCAGGAGAGGACAGGTAGAATAAAGGAAGATCTGCAGTGGTGGTCCACCACCAGCGCGCGACATCGGAGACTGTCGGGAAAGTCGGGGACTGTCGGGGACGGTTGCGGACAGTCAGACACTGTCGCGGACTGTCAGGGAAGGTAGGGGACAGTCGGGTACTGTCGGGGATGGTCGCAGATGGTCGGGGACAGTCGGAAAAGTCGGGGACGGTCGGGGAGACTCAGGGACCCAGCTCCTACCTTGCGTGCCTGGTCGTTATCTTCGATCTGACCCAGGTCTCTGCCACTGGCCTGGGCGATTCTCTTCCCAGAGACCAGGTTCCCCACCATCACAGAGGCAGGGCCGATTTCTAGAAAGAAACAGAGACATGGCCATGAGGAAACAAAAGAGAAATTCCTTCAGACTAGACCTCCCACTTTGGTAAAGACCTTACTCTCGGAAAACTTCTGGAAAGACCTGGCTTTGAATAAACCTTCTAAGAACAGAGATTCAACGAAATCAAATGATTGTGAAGGGGGAGTGTAACAAGCCTTGGTCAGGTTCTTCAGAAACGATGTTTTTATCATCCCTGAAGCTCCCTGGAGGCCCTCCAAGCCCACGCCTGACTTTCCAGTTAATGTGAGAGCCCCGTGTGCCGGCACTCACAGCCATGATTGTAAAAAATAAAACGGAAGACACACACAGAATTAAAAGCCACGATTTGTCTCACTGCAGAGACCTGTGGCTCCCGTCTGTTCGAGTTCTCTGGGGTCCACACACCTGAGAGCTGGCTGTGGACAAACAGACAGTGGACATTTCACATACAGATGTCGTGGGGTGGAGTCAGAGAGTGATACTGTGGACGGGACAGGATAGAGTCGCTTCTCGGTATGTTATACTGACTGAAAAGGTCTTAGGTTCTGTCAGGCCCACAGTGAGGTGTGGAAGAATAAACCAAGGGCTGTCATAAAGTCATCGCTTATCCATGAGCGATGAGATGACTACCAACTGGGGAAAGTGGGGAAGAAGGGGGGGTGGGAGGTGGGGGACGGGGGTGGGAGGTGGGGGACGGGGGATGGGAGGTGGGGGACGGGGGTGGGAGGTGGGGGACGGGGGATGGGAGGTGGGGGACGGGGGATGGGAGGTGGGGGACGGGGGTGGGAGGTGGGGGACGGGGGATGGGGGATGGGAGGTGGGGGACGGGGGTGGGAGGTGGGGGACGGGGGTGGGAGGTGGGGGACGGGGGATTGGAGGGGGCAGAGGGATGGGGGATGGGCAGGGGGAGGAGCAGAGGAAGCAGGGAGAGTAAAAGAATGTTTACCAAAAGAATTGCAGGTAAAATAACAATGATATGATCAATTTATGCCTAATCCTTGGTTTGAAGGCTACTATTAAATCAAATTCTTAAATTCCCGATAAAGGTCAAGTAACAGGTTTCTAAGCCAGGCCACATGCTGCATTAGTTACTGCACAAGCAGGGCTATGGCTAAGCAGGTTGCTCATAGCCGTGTCAAAAACAGACACACGTGCCCAGATGCAGCTGACGGGGCAGTGGCACAGAACAAGGCTTCGGATGAGCCCATCACCATGACAACCGATGTCCCTCGGCTTCCCAAAAAGCTCACGGAAATGGTGGCACCAGAACAAGGCAGTCAGGGCCTGACGTCCTCTAGCCGGCCCCCAGGGAGAGCAGGGCCACCGGCTCTCTACAGATGCACGGCCATCCTTTTCAAATGCAGGCTGCCAGAAACGATTCCACTTATCACAGCTGCGCAGGAGAAGGCACGGCACTTCAGCCAGGATTGAAATCTGGAGGAGAACGGTCTATGAGCAGATGTCTGGGCTGCTGCCTGCCGGTGCCTTGGGTTCTAGGCGACGTGTAGGAGCCTCGAGTCTGGACTCTGTGTAACAGTAAGATGCCTCCTACACTCGGCAAATCATTTTTGAATTTTCACGTCGTAGTTGTGAACAGACTGAATTTCTTTTCTTAGTTCTTAATGAAGTATGGAAGAGGAATAGCCTTTTCACATTTAGCAAAAGAATTTGTCAGGCTCTGGAAGGAAGGGAGCTGCCCCGTGGTGGGAACAATTGCCCCTCTGTGATCTCCAAACACCTGGGAGCCCCTGCACGATCTCAGAACACAACACCCGGGAGACCCTCATTCACCCGCTGCGCATCCTCTATCTCTACCAGATAGAAGCGTCTTCTGAATGAAGCATCTTTAACAGATTTTTTTTGAGACAGAATCTGACTATGTTGCCCAGGCTGGTCTCGAAGTCCTGGGCTCCACTGATTCTCCCATCCTGGCCTCCCGCATTGCTGGGACCACAGGCGTGAGCCACTGCGCCTGGCTGATGAAGCTCTGAGCCTTCTCCTTGGTGACCGATGCTGGGCAAGACGAGACGGCTCTTCTAAGAAGTCAACTTGGAAACTGGCCTAAATGGGTTCCAAGGTTTCCCGTAATGTTTTTAAGAATTCAGACTGGGGTAGGGAAAGCGAGCTTTTGAGGAGAGATCAGGCTTTTTGTGGAGCCTTATTTTGTGCCCGTTTGCTACATGAAGACGTAGCACGTTCCCTCATCTCCACGTGCATCCTCTGAATGGAAGTTTGGGACCTTGAATGCCTCCCCATGCAGACTAGGGCCTGTTTTCCCGACTGCTCCTGGGAGGCAGAGGCCTTCTAGCTGCACCTCACTCTCAAAGTCTGTTCTTGGCAGCAGCTGACAGTGTCCCCTGTTGAAGAGAGGTGGGCATGTCCCAAATGCCCCCAGGGTATATCACAGCCTCGCCATTTAAGCTACAGAGTTGAGAGGAATCCCAAAACGTGTGTATTTGAGGCTCATGTCTCTTTTCTCTTCCCGCTCCCATTAATGGATTCACCCATCTGCAAGTCGGCAGCCGCATCGCTGGTATTATCAAATATCCTACCATGCAATGCTTGGCGAATTCGCTCAGGGCACAGGGCGGGAGTTTTATCTCAAAGACAGCAGCGAGACACACAAATCCCAAGTGGGAGGCAAGCCCTTCCCAGGTGCCAGGCTCTGGCCTCAGCAGACTCTTCCTGCTATTCGGGGGCAATATTCCCAGGGACCTTTAAAGCTGTGGAATTGTACCTTGTTTTGTAACTCTGTAATATTTTTGCCAGCTCAGCTGCTGAGTTAAAGGTCTCTTAATACTTTTGTGCTCAAATAAGATAATCTGAGGGTACACAGTGCCATTAACTGAGTAAATATGAATTCATGCAGTAAGAAAGGCAATTTGGGTGTCAATAGGCTGTCTCTGTTTCCAGCATCTCAGAACACTGTCACCCACAAATGGCCTCAACGAATGTTTGCTTTGGCTTCCAATAATGGCTACTCACCTGTCAGGGTCATTTTAAATGTTTATTCGAAGGGGCCTTAGAAATCATCCAGCCCAATTCCCTTCTCTGTGGTTCGAAGCTGGGGCCCCGGGGCAGGGGACGTCTGCTAAGCTGCGTATCAGGCCCTCAGCAGAGACGTAGGGCCTCAGCTCTGCCAGTTAATATTTGTTAAAAAGCTTTTTAAAGACACAAAATTATGTAACCTCTCAGTTTAGCAAAAACAGATGAGACACTAAATATATATATACTATTTTCTTTCTTTCAAGTTATCAATCACATGAAGCTTCATTTAATGAAGTACATTATTAGAGTAAAAAGATTTCCAATCTCCTGGGCCACTATTCCCCAGCTAAACTCCTAAGGAAGAGGGCTTTCTGCAGGAGGTCACACTCCTGACCGCAGTGTGAGGTTGCTGGCTCTGTCTCCCCACTGGGTTTTCCTGACCTCGGCGTGAGGCTGCTGGCTGCTCTCTCTCGCCTGGGTTTTCCCGGTCACTGGGCTTCTCGACATTTGGCTCAGGTGAGCCGAGCCCTGTAGCTATGGAGTCATTACAGCTTTGTATTTGCAAAGGATCCTCCTCCTTCCATAAACACTTGTCTGAACCCTGTCTCCACCAGCTACTGAACTACTTCCCAGCTGGGACCGTGGGTCACTGGGGTTGCTGGGTTGAGAGTGTCTGACAATCAAACAGTGGGGAGAGAGGATCAGGTCACTTCGGAGTTTACAATGAGGATACCCTGGAGAGCGCTGACACCATTATAAATCTTCATACTACAGAAACAGCCTGGGGAGAGCAACTGCCTCCGTGTCCTTCACAAGGCTGTTTACGTCCCGAGGCGGCAGACAGAGGCAGCGTTTTCCACCCTTTCAGAGCACTCCCTGAGGGACGATGCCCATGGCTTGAGCGGCTCCCAACAGAAGGCCACGCACCCACAGAATGTGGTGAAATGGATACTGTTCCCTGCAACTCCACATTCCCCGTGTCAATCATAAAAACCAGGGACCGCGAGAACAACAGTGTGGGGGGAAAACTGTGCCAATCAAACACCAGAGACCATGAGAACAGCCGTGTGTGGGAGGGGGCGGAAACAAACTGTGCCAATCAAACACCAGAGACCATGAGAACAATGGTGTGGGGGAAAAAAAAAAGAAATGGAGGAGGAATATTTAAGGAAATCTGCAACATAAGAAAAAAATTAGAAGTAGGTCAGAAATGAAAGAGCAACCATACGTGTGAACCCAATGTGCTTAGAAAGTGAGAGCACCGTGGCCGTGTCCTTCAGGAGAATGAGCTTTTGCTACGGGAGAACAGAGCCAGTAAGTTACGTGCTGACGACCACACTAACACCCCTGAGCCTACAGAGAATAAAAGCAAGGCATTTACAGCCAGAAGACCAGAATCCAAGTTGCCCCCACCCATTCTATTTTCTTGGGGTAACCACTTCTTTCCCGCAAGCATCAGCTTCCTGCAAGCAGCCCTGGGTGAACTCCCGCACCTCCCAGTGCCGTGCAGCCCCAAGGGAACTCCCGCACCTCACAAGCTGCCCAAGTGGTGCACATACCTGGCTGCTTCTGTCGAGGCTTAGGCAAGTTTGTGACGCAGGTGTGGGGGCACATTAGGACATTGCAGGGGTGCAGAGAGCCCTCCAGAAAAAGCTGTTTTGTTTCTGATAAATGGATCCCACCAAGCGGGGTTTTGGGGAGGGTGTTTGCTGGCACCAAGGCCAGGCAATAAACTCCAACTTGATGTATACTGTCAATCGCCTAGAAAGTTAATAAAGAGGAAATCATGTTATAAGAGGAAGTATAAACAGTACGTATTTATATTATGCAAAATATGATCCACAATACACAGAAGTCTGTGCAGTATAAGCACTGTTCCCAGCATAAAAATGCCAAGGTAAGAGAAAGGATTTTCCTACTAAACTCACCAAAGCTGAATAATGTTACCCAGGGCTTGTGGAAGACCATACACAGTAAAAAAGGAACTTTGGAGAAAAGATAACATGTTCTCAAGATCAAACAAAAAGCTTACTTCGACCTCCCCAAGGTGTCCGGTAGGAACCAGCTGTGCAAATTCCTGGTCCCTACACCCTCGATCTGCTGAGCTAGTTTCTGGACACTTGATGTAGTTCCTGATCAAATGAAGGGAAGGGAAAAAGGGCCACCCCATGGGCAAAGCAACAGCTGGTCACACCATGATCTGAATGAAGTAAGGAGGCCAGAAACAAGACACAGGGGACCAGTGCCCAGGGCGAGGGAGGGCAACCTGCAGCACACGGCTCATCCACTGGAAACTGTCCTCTTCCGTGGAGTCAGGCCTCTGCTCAGCCACGATCACGATCCTCTCGTCGTGCAGCACGGTCACCGAGAACACGGCTATCCTGCGGGGACACAGGAGCATGGTGAGCACGCGCCGGGGACGCTCATGCAGCCCTCCCTCCGCCATCAGGGGCTCCATAACCATCACTAGTGAGTGACACAGCTCCAACTACGACTTCAAAACGGCCGCTGTACTTCCGAATTTCCCCACACTCATCAGTACGGGAAGAACTGTGGGAGGCGCCCAGGGATGCTGCCGAGGCAAGGTCACCCTGATCCCCACGGAGGCCACACACAGCACCCGCGGGCTCTGGTGACCAGGTTGCGCCTTTCGGTACAGAGGGGCAAATGCGCAATGATCAGACCTGCTGAAATTTAGGGAGTCACACCCTTCACAGCTCGAGTTTGCACCCGTGAAGTTAACGGTCTCCAAATCAGTAGAAATTTGCCGTTTCAGAACTAGTGATTTTCTGCTAAGTGTATGTGCCTTATACTGTCAGCACAGCACAGTCACCTCCAGTAAAAGAGATTGTAGCTGTAAAGATAATTCAAAGGCAGCAACATCATATCCAGGTATCTACTTCCTGCTCCCATCAGCTTCCAAACTGAAAAAAGGCTCTAAAACACTTTATGACTTCCTCCAGATTGGCAAAAACTCAGGAACCGTGGCAACTTATTTCATCACGGAGCCTCCACTGTGCACCAGGCAAGGCAGGGAGAAGAAAACTGGTAGAGCGGGGAGGTGGCGAGCGTCTGCACTCACACAAGTCTGTGACTGAACCATTGTCCTTGGGTCTCTCCAACCCGCTCCACGATGGATATCTGGATCTTTAATTTGTGCAGTTATTTATCAGAAATAAGTTTTCTAATGCATATTTCTATTATACTTAGAGGGGAAGTTCAATGGAAATATATTTATGGAGCTCAGGGAATTTCTATAAAATCTTGGACATTCAGAACTGGATTAAATCTCAGAGGTCAGAGTCCAGTTGCTTCAATAACATGGAAGAGGAAACGGAGACACAATACATTTAAGGAAACTGTGCAACTTTCAACCCTTCAAAACCACATAAAAAATATGGCCGACCGGAAACCATATGCTTGATTTGCAGAACGCCACTGACCTTCCCCGGTAGACAAACTTCATGGGTTCTACGGCCAGCGCAGTGGCCACGATGTCGTCGGCGTTGTGCCTGCGCCCGCTGACCACCATGAGGCCATCCATCTTGCCCACCACGAAGACGAGGCCTCCGGGACCCACGAACCCCAGCAAGCCTGTCCTTATGAATGGGTATTCACTGATCGGAGCCCCGGAGCTTGTCATGGGAAACACCTGGGGGAAACAGCATCCATCAGGCCACTGTTCATGTGGTCAGCTGGTTTTAATCCTCGCCGCTACTCCTGGGAGCACGGCACCTGCTTTGCTTAAGCTCTGCCTTTCACCCCAGCAACCCTGCCCTAGGGCCGAGGTCACAGTGACCGCTGGTGGCCAACAGTCTTCGAGGCAGAAAAGCACTTCCTGCCCACCTCAGCAGGACCCCATCCGTTCCTGCACCTCCACTCACCTGCTGGAGCCTCCTGCCTCTGAACCCTGAACAGATAACACCCAGAAGTCTCACAGGAGGCCAATCAGCAGTAACTGATTACTTGGTTTACAAAACCACAATGTAAAAGACGAGTGAAGAGTCAAGGTACATTTTAAACAACGTCTGTTAGTTTTAAAGTAATCTCTCTTCATTCATAAAATGTTATTTGCCCTTGTTGGAAGTATGCTGAAAAGAAAAATATTAAGGAAGCAAATCAGATCAGTTCAAACTCTAACCCTCTTTTTTCCTCCACCCTTGCAGATAAACCAGAGAAACGGAGATGGAGTTTTTATTTAGATTTGTATCCAGCTCAGTTTCGAGGGATATTTTAGAAAGTTGAATTCACACTCAAGAAAGCTATCATAGACAGGTACTGTAACATCTGTTCAGCCACATCCAAAGTTCTCAACATTTAGACCAGCAACAGTGGCTCATGCCTGTAATCCCGGCACTTTAGGAGGCTAAGATGGGAGGATTGCTTGAGGCCAGGAGTTTGAGATCAGCCTGGACAACAGCATGAGACCCCATATGTACACAAGAATTTTTTTTTTAATTATTCAGGTGTGGTGGCACACGCCTGTACTCCCAGTGACTCGGAGGCTGAGGCAGGAAGATGGCTTGAGCCCAGGAGTTTGAAGCTGCAGTGAGCTGTGAACGTGCCACTGCCCTCCAGCCTGAGTGACAGAGCAAGACCCTGTCTCAACAACAACCAAAAGTTCTAAACATTTAGGAAATGTATCCCCAAACAATTTATATTTTCTTACATATAACTTAAATGTTGTGCTACTTCTAAGGCCAGGACCTACTTGGTAAAAAGATAAGAGTTCTGAGTTGCAGCACTGAACGTGTGTCTGAGCCCTTCATTACACAGCACATCTGTGCACACGCCCCATGCACGCACATTACACACGCATCTGTGTACACCACATGCATACTTGCTTGTGCCACTGAGATCGTTACATACACGTGTGCTCGAGTTCTCACAGGTTCATACCTGGCCACATCTAGCCCAGGCCGAGGAGCCGTAAAGGGGCTCTAGTTGGCTTCCCCAGGCGAGGGTTCGTACCTGGCCACGTGTAGCCCAGGCCAAGGGGCTGTAAAGGGGCTCCACTTGGCTTCCCCAGGCAAGGCCCTTCACGCACACAAGTGCACGTTCAATAATGATCCACTTTTCACAGTAAAAGTGAGAAAAGTAACAAAAAGGATCCTTTTTAAAGCATGCTTATTCTTTTAAACACTGGTTATAAGGTCAGAACAATGCTGATAAAACAAATTTATCAAAAGCGATAAAAAGTGGTAAAGTGCCATCGTTTTCATTCATATAAACACGTCTTGCTAAAATGGATCTTACATTCCACGTCTATCACTATGCACCTGGCAAGGGCTCTTTGGAGACGGAGCCACAGATGGTGCCCATGGTAAGACTCTCCTCCACCTACCTCAAAGGTGTTCTTGGTCATGCCAGAGAGGCCATAGTAGGACGTGCCCGTCGCAACTGCACACACACACAGCTCCCCGATCTCATCCGTTCTGCACAGCTGAGGAACCCCGTCTGGCTTCACTGAACACATGATGGCTAAAAGCAAACAGGAAAGCACATGCAGTGTGAGAGGGGGCAGGTGGGGAGAATAAAGGAAACAGGGAAGACGCGAATATGAACGACACCAGTGAACAGGAATGGGGTCTGGAGCAAAACTGCACGGATGGTAGTCAGCCAGGCACTCATTTTCCCTAAAGAGCCATGAGTTTTCCTGTTGCAGCAACATGTCAAATTTCATAGTTGAAACATCAATAAATATTTCAATTGCTTTAATGTTAATGCGCAAGTTGTATTTAGGGGCGTGACATCATCTGCCATTTAGATATGGGGAGGAACCTCAGAACTAACATCAGGACCACCTGCCACACCAGACATCAGCAACGTGGTGCAACTTGACCTCTGCAAATCAAGCCTCTAATGTCTTATGGAAATCTGAATCTTCGATTTCACACTCCGTGCAAGGTGAGCCCTTCCGAGAACACCACTGGAGCGCTTTGCACACGGTTCAATGCTGATAAGTTCTCACTGGTCTGTGCCACCAACACTTTCATGCTTTGCCCAACAACATCCTACATACCCCCCAACTGCAATCCACAAATCTGATTAGGGAGCCAAGAGCCTCAGGCTTCAGAAGGGTGGAGTGTGCATTAGTGACAGCTGAGCTGTTTAGAAAGAGCCTAAAACAGCCGGCACCCGCTGGGCTGGAGTACAGAACAGTGGAAACATAAGTTAAACTCACAGGAAGAAAGATTCACATTAAGGCCGGACGCGGTGGCTCACGCCTGTAATCCCAGTACTTTGGGAGGCCGAGGCGGGCGGATCACAAGGTCAGGAGATCGAGACCATCCTGGCTAACATGGTGAAACCCCGTCTCTACTAAAAATACAAAAAAGTAGCCGGGCGCAGTGGCGGGCGCCTGTAGTCCCAGCTCCTCGGGAGGCGGAGGCAGGAGAATGGCGTGAACCCGGGAGGCAGAGCCTGCGGTGAACCGAGATCGCGCCACTGCACTCCAGCCTGGGCGACAGCGAGACTCCGTCTCAGAAAAAAAAAAAAAAAAAGTTCACATTAAATTTACACTGAAAGATTCTTCACCCATCAGATTGGTAAAAACAAAAGTCAGGTAACACGGTGGGTAAGGAGTGGAGAAAGAAGTGCTGCTGCTTACCGCTCGGCAGGGTACAGCTTCACAACCTTCGAAAAGACAATCACAAAAATCACATCGGCAGTTCTCTTTGAAACACAACTCCCACTTCTAGAACTGTTTCCATTAGACACGAGGGGGTCACTCACTGCAGCAGCAAAAGAGGGAAATTCACCAAACGGGGGGGCTCAAATAAACTTAGTGCCCCCACAAGGTAGCACTGTGCTGCCTTGAGAACACCGCGGAGCTCGTTACGCGCTGACAAAGGACCCTCAGGATAAAACATGCGTATGTACGCAGTACTCCATCATGACGTGAGAAAACCCCGGAACCCAGGGCAGAGGACACACACGGGGTGGGGGTGCAGGCTTCTGTTCCACAGCCCCAGGTGCCTCCGACGGGGGCCCGGGAAGCCCGCGGTTGCTCTCACTGCCGCACAGCCCCAGGTGCCTCCGACGGGGGCCCGGGAAGCCCGCGGTTGCTCTCACTGCTGCACAGCCCCAGGTGCCTCCGACGGGGGCCCGGGAAGCCCGCGGTTGCTCTCACTGCTGCACAGCCCCAGGTGCCTCCGACGGGGGCCCGGGAAGCCCGCGGTTGCTCTCACTGCTGCACAGCCCCAGGTGCCTCCGACGGGGGCCCGGGAAGCCCGCGGTTGCTCTCACTGCTGCACAGCCCCAGGTGCCTCCGACGGGGGCCCGGGAAGCCCGCGGTTGCTCTCACTGCTGCACAGCCCCAGGTGCCTCTGACAGGGGCCTGGGAAGCCCGCGGTTGTTCTCACAGTCACAAAGGAGCATTTTCATTGTGTCCTTCAGAACCTTTTGAAGATTTCACCATGCAGTTCCATTTATTTGAAAATTAAATATTAAAGAAATGGAGCCAGGGGGGCCTGGCCACAGCTGGGAGGCAGGGAGTGGGCTGGACACAGGGGCTAGAGGGCTGCAGGCAGAGGCAGAGCTGCGGGGATGCTGGAGGGCGTCCGCAGGGAATCAGGGAGTAGTGAGGAGGAGGGAAGCCACGGGCTGCCTTCATTTCTTTTATGCCAAACAGGCCGAACAGAAAGGCGAGACAGCTTCTGGAGTGCCTGGCCCTAGCGCAGCTCACCATGAAGGGGCATGAGGGGTCTGCCTCTGTGAGACTCCATGGGGCGAGGGTCCCTGCTGAGGCCCACCTGACCTGGCGCCCTGCACCTGCTGCTGAAGGCGGCAGCACTGCTCGCACAGGCATGGCTACCCTGCTGGGCTTGAGCCCACACCCCATGCCTGGAGGGCTCAGCAGGAGACACAGGCTCCAGGATTCCCAGCTGAGAAAAGAGACGGGTTCCCTTTCTGGGGCCAAACAGCCAGGGGCTGATGCTGCCTGTGACCCCATGAGTTGAGCGCCAAGCGTGTGCACCCTAAGAATGGTAAAGCGGCTCCTGGGAGGTGCCTGGGCGCTCCTCGTGGGGCTGGTGGGGAGGCACGGCGGGCCCTGCAGCTGGGCGCTTCCTCATGCATCTGTGGAAAAGGCTTCTGAGACTTGGAAAAAGGTCTCTACTGCTGAAAACAGGTTTCATGGTCACACAAACTCACATTCCTTGATTTTCACATGTGTCTGCCTTGGCGGAAGCCGAGCTTGGCTGTTCCCACTCTGGCTAGTGCCTTAGGGTGACAGATGGGCACGTCCTCTGGGGGAGGGAAGGGAAGCTGCCCAGGCACCAGTGTGGACCCTGCACTGGCCCCGAAGCCTTCCAGGGAAGAGCAGCCTGAGGTCCCAGTGTGCAAAGCTGCCCTTCCCCATCTTCTTGATCGTCTACCAGGAGAGGGAACACTGCCTCAAATGTCTGAAGCCTAACAAAGACTTCAGAAGACTGGGAGTGAGGCTCTCAGCCTGAGGGCACACCACGGGAACGCGGGAACGTGGGAACGCAGGCTTTGGTGACATGTGTTAGAAAAGCATTTAATAACTGGTTAATCTGTGCAGCTCGCGACCCACACTCACCTCCAGGCATCACGAGGCCGACATCCTGCACGGTGAGCACGGACAGCTTCTCTTCCGAGTCCACACGAATGACCCCATAGGTCAGTCCATGCATGGAGAGGACACCCCGGCCCGGGGGCTGGTTACTGTCATCCGTGGGCCTGTAATGACAGTTTTTAACTTGAATATGCAGGAGCAGATAAGCCATCACAATCACAGATGTGCAGTCAGCACACATGCGGCAGGCTGGGCACCTCTGGGCACAGTGCTGGCACCCCAGGCACAGTGCTGGCTGCCCATGTGGCTGCATTAGGGGATGCTCGTTCTGTTTATGAACAGCTGGCAGCGAGTCTACTGCTTCCGCCTCTACATTCCCAGGGAATCCCAAGAACACCCGTAAACTACCAACGCAGCTCCTCTCCTGCCCCCTCTATGCAGGCCCTGCACAGACCAGCTCTCTCTCCCCTCCCTCCAGGCCCTGCACAGACCAGCTCTCTCTTTCCTCCCGGCTCCTGCTCACTCCACGGTCTGCTCTTCTAGTTTTGCAAATGTCTGGAGGGTGGTGCATCCACTCCAAGAATGCAGACAAAACCACTGAACAGCAATGATGGAAATCCTGACTGTCCAGCCTCAATTCAGATGCAGACTGCCTGGGCGTATGCCCAATTTTATAAGAATCTAAAATAAGATTTACGCTGTGCCATTGTGGCTGCCAAGTTCTAAGGAAAACTATTTGGGTGGCAGGCAAGCTGTAGAATGCATTGTGGGTCAGGAGAAGACGGGTCCGCATAAGGCAGTTTTCAGAAGACCACTGCGCACACGTTCACCACGCTGGGGCCCACCCCACCTCCTCTGCCGGACACCCCAGCTTGCTCCCGCCTTGGGGCTTCTGTGCTGGTTCTCGCTGCTACCCAGGACGTTCCTCCGGCAGACGTCCACACGGCCCTCTCCCTGTCTCCAGGGGACTTCTTGTCCCCTCAGAAAACACCCCCCACCCAGTGTGCCCACCCCACAGCACACACCTCTGACTACCTGTGCGACCTCCTCCCTCAGACCCAACTCTCCCAAGAGCGGCCACAGTTTGTTTTGCTCACTGCTGCATCCCAGCCCTGGAAAATGTCTAGCAATGAATAGCTGCTGACTGAATTTGCGAACAAATAAGTTAAAATCTAAGATCACGGATTACATTCCTGAAAACTAACAATTCCTCAACGGTTATCTAAGTGAGTCACCACAATTTAGGTACACATTGTTTCTGTAATTTTCCATTTATAAATCTTTAACGCACTTCAGACCTAAAAGCTGGACTATAAGTTAGCTGTTTAACTTTAAAATATTATGGTTTATAATGAAACTGAAGACATAAATGGGGAAACATAAAAGTTAATATTTGGAAAAGGAGATCTCATTTGAATGAAGTAACTGGTGTATTGAAAAAAGCATGAAAGACTCTGGAAAAAGAATTATTCTAGATGTAAGAATCAAAAAGGATAGAGCTAACCAGATATAAAAGAAAAGTCTCCCCAAATAAGAAAACCCACACGGAACTACCTAGATAGGGCGAGCTCAGATCCCCGGGCTTTCCATTATCCTCCTGGCCTTTAATTCCTAGAGACCCCAAACAAATCAAAACTTCAAAATGAAAACACAGGTGTTGTCAGTGGTCCTGCCACCATCCCCTCACCCTGCACCATCCCCTCACCCTGCACCATCCCCTCACCCTGCACCATCCCCTCACCCTACAAGAGTCCTCTACAAAGATCAGCGTGGAAGTCAGGCACTGTGAGCTTCAGCATCTGCTGTGGGTTGAATCGTGTCCCCGCAAAAGATCACCCCTTGTATCTGTGAGCTTATTTGGATGCAGGGGCTGTTCAGACACAGATGCCCCTGGACTTACAACTTGATAAACCCATTGTAAAGGCGGAAATTGAAGTTGAGCCACCGTAAGCCAGGGCCATCTTATGACCAGGTTAAGATGAGGTCATACTGGGTTAGAATGGACCCTAAATCCAATTACTCTGTCCTTGTAAGAGAAAAGAGAGGTCCTGACACAGGGAGAAGCTCACGTGACGATGGAGGCAGAGACTGGAGTGACAGGTACCCATCCAGGATAGCTGAGCACCCAAGGCTGGGGTGAGGCCCAGGGCGGATCGCTGAGCAGAGCAGCACCCGAGGGAGGCTGGGGTGAGGCCTGGGCTGAGCTGAGCAGCACCCGAGGGAGGCTGGGGTGAGGCCTGGGCTGAGCTGAGCAGCACCCGAGGGAGGCTGCGGTCAGGCCTGGGGTGGGCCCCCTCAGCACGTCCAGACGCCCAGCCCTGTGACACCTTGGGGTCTCCAACTCCAGCCTCCAGAAGTGAGACAAGTTTCTGTTGTTTAAACCACTCAGTGTGTGGTACTTTGTTACGAGAGCCGGAATACGCTATCTTAGTGATAAAAATTTAAGGTACACTTATTTTTGTTTTTAAAAGCCACATGAAAGCAAAATGCTAGGCTAGCCAAGATTGAGAACACTGACCTGCCGGGCAAGGGCCGGAAGGGAAAAAGTTATCTCAGGGCCCAAAAACGTATGTTTTATTGTCTCAATCACAAAAACCCCCTTTCCTTTTTTTTTTTTTTTTTTTGAGACACAGTTTCACTCTGTCACCCAGGCTGCAGTGCAATGGCGTGATCTTGGCTCGCTGCAACCTCTGCCTCCCGGATTCAAGCCATTCTCCTGCCTCAGCCTCCTGAATAGCTGGGACTACAGGCGCCGCCACCACAGCCAGTTAATTTTTTTGCTATTAGTAGAGACGGGGTTTCACCATGTGGGCCAGGCTGGCCTCGAACTCCTGACCTCGAGTGATCTGCCCTCCTCGGCTTCCCAAGGTGTTGGAATTACAGGCGTGAGCTACTGTGCCTGGCCAAGATCCTCTTTTCTATGTTTAAACACAGTTAACGAGAAATAAGACCTGCACATTTAATAATTGAATATGTTAAGATTACAAATTGTGTTTGCTATAGGAACTTTTCAGTTATGCTTATACAATGATAGTTCCAGGAGGCTGAATATGTTCATATTAGCCACGTTAACCTTCATTAATTTAACCTTCCACTGTACATTTATTCATATTTGATAGATTCCCTTGCTAGTCGGAGAAAACGCACGGCCCCGGGATTCTTTCCTTGCAGATGTGCAAGACACTGGCATACAGCCAGGCACAGAAGCGCAGGAGGTCCCGACACACAGCCAGGCACAGAAGCGCAGGAGGTCCCAACACACAGGCGGGCACAGAAGCACGGGTGCTCCCGACACACAGGTGGGCACAGAAGCGCGGGAGCTCCCGGCACACAGGCAGGCACAGAAGCGCGGGTACTCCTGACACACTGGCAGCCTCACAGCCCCACCTCCCCACAGACGTGGTGTTTGGGGCCACCCCTTAACTTCTGACCTGGTGGTGCTGATGCCTCCCCCTCCAGATGGCAAACCAGTGCCCCAGGGGTACCCTCCGTGTGCCAAATGGTTCTGACTCTTTCATGCATAGGGACTCGCTTAAAACTCACCATAAGCCTATGGCTATTATTCCTCACTTTCAGATGAGAAGATTCGGGCACAGAAAGGTTGACTTCACTGCCCAAGTGGGTGGTGGGGCTCGGCAGGACTCAGACCCAGAGCATAGCCCCTGCTGACCTGAGTGCCCGCCCCTCCCTGGTCTTTGCCTCTGATCCCAGGACACTGAGTGAATCAGTCTACTGCTCTCTTCTTTTTATAAAAACTTAGAAGCAAACAGCACAACCAACGTCAGCACATTCTTAGTATGAACAAGGCAAACATCACAGTCAAAAGGCAAAGTCCCTGTTTCTGCTCCAATCCTATGCCCCACAAATAACCACATACAGATTTTTTAATGTCAAAGTTTAGACTCCTAGATATGCAGTTAAGTATAAAATATGTATGTATACCAATACATTGATTTTTAAAAGAAAAGCAGAATCAAGATGATGCTTATTCTATGTTGGCAGAAAAGCTGAGTGTTGGGAGAAGCTGCGGCAGGGCTTGCAGGTCTGACATAATGTAAGAGTCTCAGAACATGTCTGGGGTCCACGGTCTAAAACCCCTTGTGGTCTTTGGAACACCAAGCTCTGTGCTAAAGGGTGGAAGGCTGCCCTGACACACCATAAACTAAGCCCAGGGCATAAAATCCCTCGTGGCTTGGATAGAATCCAGGGCTTGTGGCTCTGGAATGTGTCTAGACTTGCTGGCTCCTTGCTCTCCCAGGGTCGATTGTATCCTGAGTTAAAAGAACCTGCTCTCCATTATCTCAAGCAGAATATGTTCCACATGCTTCAAAGAAAATGCTAAACCGTCACAGCTGTAAGATCATGCGCTTGCCCTTTCAAGCCCCACATTCTCAACACCTGTTTCTTTGTTTGATCACCAATAAATAGTCTGGGCTTCCAGAGCTCAGGGCCTTCGCAGCCTCCATACTCGCAATAGCCCCCCGGATCCAATTTCTCTCTCAAACTGTCTTTTCTCATTCCTTTGACTCCACCATACTTTGTCACCCCAACAACCTGGTGTTGGATCTGATCACCCCAACATTCTAAAACTCACTCTCTTCACTAAACATATCTGCAGATCTTTCCATGTGTCTGTGTGTGGGTGTGCATCTGTGTAGGTGTGTGCACCACTGAATTCAGCTGGTTTGTTACACACAGTGTTTAGTAATACAAATATAAGATCATATATTTTCTTTCATTCAATTTTTATACAGCTGGAAATGTATCTGTAATATACATACCTAGAAAGAAAATGGAGCATCACAAAGCACATATACTTAAATTTTTAAGAAGACCTAAATATCCTCCCAAAATAACATACTTTGCATTCCCACTAACAGAACAGGAGTATTATTTTCTCATCTACTAGAAAAGCACCTCACACTGGCTGTATTGTGTTGTGGTTATATATTTAATGACCTATTCTGCACAGCAACCCTGTGGAGATGGGTGCAGCACCATGACCCTCCCTGTTTAGCAGACAGGGGCAGGGGCGAGGAGGGCTGAGTGCTACCCAAAGCCACTGCTGTGGAGTGGAGCCAGCGCCAATCTCAGTCTGGCTTCAGAATCTGTGCATCTGACCACAGCGCCAAGCTGCTCAGCAGTGCCCATCTCTGCACTCTTGCCAACACTTAAAATGCTTCCCAATTTGTTCAGTAAAACACCATTTGTTGGTCCAATTTGTGTTCCCTGTATTATTGAGAAACTTAGATGATATTTATCTCCATCAACACCTTGCTAAGAAGTAAAAATCCCAAGTAGGTAGATGAGGTGAGGAAGGGAAGAAACAGTCCCCATAGGCAGAATTCGAGGGGGTTTAAAAAACATCCACCTTAATAATCAATATCAGTACATTAAAAAATGGCTAATAAAGGTATCCGCCCATTCATCAACTTCCAAACTCAGTTCCCATGTGAAATGGTGTTCAAGACCAAACAGCTTTGTGTGTCTCATGAAGAATATGGATTCCAGGAGGGACCATCTCAGTGATCTCCAGGAATGTAAGGAGGCAGAGTCCTCTCTTGGAGATATGGAAGGAGCAAAATACGTACCTGTGTATACAATACCACGATGACGTGCAAAAGGGAAACAAAATAAAACTAAAGGACAACAGAGTCTGGATGTTTTGTTGCCTGCAGATCTCACGTTGAAATGTGACGTCCAACAATGCAGGTGGGCCTGTTCTCGCAGTAACACGAGAGTTCTCACTTTATGAGTTCACGTGGGATCTAGTTGTTTAGAATAGAGCTGGGCACCTCCTCTCTCTCTCTCTTGCTCGCTCAATCTCTCACCATGTGACATGCAGGCTCCCACTTTGCCTTCTGCCATGATCATAAGCTTCCTGAGGCCTCACCAGGAGCTGAGTAGATGCTGGAGCCATGCTTCTCTTACAGCCTACAGAACTGTGAGCCAAAATAAACCTCTTTTCCTTATAGATTACCCAGTCTCACACATTCCTTTATAACAATGCAAACACACCAACAAAAAGGAAAGAAGCAGGCCAGACCTTGCAATGTGGCCTCACGAGGAATGTACACTATGGCTTCCATTGAACCATTTGCACCACTGACTTGTCATAGCATTTCCAGCCTCTGGAAAGCATTCCATAAGCCTTGCCCGCATAACACCTTGAAGTAGCAGCTCCTATAAATTTCATGAACACATCTGCAGTTTGCTACTCCTGACCACAAGCAGAGCCAGGCCAGGCTTGGGACATTCACACAAAACAAACACATCAAGTAGTGAACAAGCCTCACAGCCTCCAGTTCTAGGGCTTAACAGAGAGCCACACTGCACCTGCACAGCTTCAGTGCCGCTCATCATTTGCTGAATCCCTTAAGCAAGTGAGTCAACAAGGTCTTTCATTTTTTTTATCTTATACGGGCGATCTCCAATGTAGTATTCCTCAGCTTAGCAACAACGGCACATTTAGAGAAGAAAGAGTTAAGCTGCAGGCCCCTCCTCCCCAGCAATCTTTACACAGCATTTCTATGCAACGGACCACACACAAAACACGCCTGCAGTCATGTAACGGCGGTAACATTTGTTGAATTCTTACTATGTACCAGGCGTGCTTTCAAGCTCTGTGTGTGTATGAACCCACTCAATGCTCACACGGGCCTCTGACGTAGCTAACTGCTGTGATTCTCATCTACAGACGAGGAATCCTCAAGGTGAAGCCCTGCCCACATGACAAAGCAGGCGCGAGAGCAGCGAGATGGGGACCCAGGCCGACCTCGGCCCCCGACAGAGCCGGCAGGGAGAAGGACCCAGGCCCACCTCGGCCCCCGACGGAGCCGGCAGGGAGAAGGACCCAGGCCCACCTCGGCCCCCGACGGAGCCGGCACAGAGCAAGAATGAGGTGGTGCTCATCCCACACACGACGTTCCCTGTGCTGGCGTCGAAGCACCTGCACAACGTTGCTTCTTTGGGAACACGCATTCCGGTTCCAGACAAAATGCGAAGTTACCAGGAAGCCTGTTTGAGAGTGGGGTTGGGAGGGGGGGTCTTCCCTTCTGAACTGGCAGCCAGAACCCCGAGGAAGTGTCTTTTTTTTTTTTTTTTTAAACAGGGCAGCTACTCTGGTCTTGAATCACCATTCACCACCAAAGGTTTCTCTTTTAGATGGACGTAAATCAGCCCTGATGAAGGTGCCGGGGCAGCCACACAACGCACACAGAACACAGAACATCTCCTCTGCTTTCTTTCCTCTCTGGGCCACTCTTTTTCACAGCAGCAGAATGAACTAATAAATTCACAGTACTGGTAAAAATGCCCTTTAAAGGACAGGAGCAGTTAAGCTTGTGAACTCATTTCAGCAGAAATAATATTTTCAGGAAACACGCACCGCGAGGGGAAATTCAGTGAAAAATGTGCATGTACCTTTTTCGATGTTTAGCGTGACACAGACTTTCAAAAACACAACAGATAAGTGAGATTGCGATTTTTAATAGGAAAAGATACAATGTAAAAGCAGCCAATATATTAAGTTATGAGTTGATTTAATGTAATATTCTTCCTTTTCTCTAACAGGAGCAATGCATGCCCACTAAAAACAGCCCATTTTACAAGCTGCACAGCACGGAAAGTGAGCTGCCCATCTTTACTGCCTCACCCACCCTGTGCAGCGCAGTTTTTTTTTTTTTTTTGCACTGAATATACTATTTACAGATACTTAATTTTTTGTTACCAAAAACGGGATCACACTATATAAACTTTTTTACAAACTCTTTCTCATAAGCCTTGGCCACCTTTCTATTTCCAGGGGAGGTTATGGGCTGGAACTGGGGGGGACCCCGTGGGGAGGCCCCTCCTCTGCCATCTTCCCGCTGCACCTCCTTTGCCAAAACCAACTTCTCATCATCTAATTCACCACAAAACAGAACACACTGTAAAACGCACGTGGTTGGGTGAAATTAAACAGGAAACTTGGTTTGCTATTCGATGCTACCTAACTCTCATGGTCTGGGTCACGTGATTTTCATCTCGAAACTACTCTGTAGTTAGAGAATTGCAAAATTTTATCCCTCTTTTTAGATAAAATGACACAGTTTATCTTGCGTTCTCTTACATGCGGGATTATGGAACTCTGGGTCTGACTTTTCCGAGCAGTGGGAAGTGCTCACTTCGGATCCACTTTGGCTCAGGGCTGTGCTGACGTTTTCTCCGCTGTCACTCATCCAGGCACCATCAGCACCCAGTGGGCATCAGACAGCACCCTTCTCCCTGCGGACACGTCTTCTTTGATTTTTCTCCCAGCTAACTTCGAGCTTGGATACTTTCAAAAACTAGAAGATGGTTGTGGTGACAAGGGGGTATTTTATCTTTTCTGGAATTATTGTTTCATTGTTTTATATGATTTTTGCATTTTCATTACTAAAATATCAGGGTATCCAAATAGTACTTTGTAGTTACAAAGCTAAAAATTATGTTTTTCAGTTCAATAAACATTTCACAACGTAGCTTTAAGAAAATCAAGTCTATCATCTACATTCTAGAGATGGTAACAGAGTCAGATGGCAGGAGATTTAGGGGATACTTGTAGCCAGGAAACAGTTTCCTGGTTTTCGCCTTGCAATTTGTCCTTTAAAAAATGTCTGATGAGTTTAGGCACCACAAGCCCCTATTTCCCCAATATTTTTCTACTCTAAAACTAACATCGGGAGAAAAGAAAACACAAAATATAACAGGACAGTGACAGTTTTAAAGAGAAAAAAATACTTTAAATGCCTAGGTGAAAATACAGTTCACGTAGCAAGACTGAGCAGACTTCACTAGAGAACGTGATTTCCTGCCACCACTTGGCTGACACACATGAACACGAAGGTGAAAACAGACACACATGAAGGCACACACATCAACACAAACACGAAAACAGGCATACACAGGTGAAGACAGACATGAAGGCATGCATGCATGAACAGGCATGCATAAAGACACGTGAACACAAACATGCCTAGACAAAGACATGCATACATGTGAACACAGACATGCATAAAGACACGTGAACACACATGCACAAAGACACATGTGAACACATGCAGACACGTGAACACAAACATGCAGACATGTGAACGCAGACATAGACACACATGAACAGACATGCATAAAGACACACGAACACAGACATGCATAAAGACACACATGAACAGATATGCCTAGGCACACATGAACAGACATGCATACACACATGAACAGATATGCACAGACACGTGAACAGACATGCATAAAGACACATGTGAACACATGCCTAGACACGTGAACACACATGCCTAGACACCCATGGACATGCATAAAGACACAAATGAACAGACATGCACAGATGTGAACAGACATGCATAGACACATGTGAACAGACATGCCTAGACACACGTGAACACAGACATGCATAAAGACACGGACACAGACATGCGTGAGGACAGGCGAGTCACCAGCCCTTGTCCCTTCAAAGTCTCCGACTCATGTTTTTAAAGACTCTCAACCTCCCTAAAATGAGTGCTGGTCATTCTTTTTTGGAGACTGGCCTTTCTGTGAGGGGAGAACCAATGGCATAAGCTCTGGCAGTGACCTGCCTGCAGCGCTGGGCAACCTGACAGAGGGCACAGCACCTGCGGCCCAGGCGCCAGCCTGCTCCCACATACCCATCGCCAGGGCTGCTGCTGGCTCCCGAGTGCCACGCCCCCCCCCCCCCCCCCCACAACCCCTGACAGCTGCTGCTGGCTTCTGTACGCCCTGCCCCGCTACCCCACCCCAACCCCTTCCCCATCACTAGGGCTGCTGCTGCTCCCGGAAGTGCCCGTGCATCCTGCGTATTTATCAAGCGGGATACTGGAGGTTCCATTGATCCTGTGAGCCCCAGAACTTTCCGACATGCTCTGTTTTGCATGACAGACATTCTATGTTGCTTGCAAGAGTGATATGAAGATACTCCACAGCCAGTGGGCTGTGGGCATCCCTGTCAGACCTGGGGCTCTTGAAGGCCCTGGACCTTGACGCCTGGAAGACTGACTCATAGCCCAGATGTCCATGCTTGGCCCTGCTGGCACCTGCAGCCACTGGGTGGCTTTCTTGTGAGTGCCTCAGCTTCTGATTTATCTACTTTTTTGTTTTCTTTTTTGCAGAAGAGAATCACTAAGTGATACATATTCCAGAGAGGGCCAAAATTCTACAAATAGTAAGCAAATGCATCTGCAATTTTATTTGCATTCTACTGCAGATAATCGTTATCCTTTTTAAATTAAGTGGACTGAAAGCCAAGCAACCAACCAGCTGCAACTCAGCACCTGGAAGTTCAGTCTCTGCTTTGATACCAGGAGCAGGGGCTGTCCCTGGAAGATGGTTAACACGCAGAAGAGGCTGTCCCTGGAAGATGGTTAACGTGCAGAAGAGGCTGTCCCTGGATGATGGTTAACAGGCAGAAAAGGCTGTCCCTGGAAGATGGTTAACGTGCAGAAGAGGATGTCCCTAGAAGATGGTTAACACGCAGAAGAGGCTGTCCCTGGATGATGGTTAACGCACAGAAGAGGCTGTCCCTGGAAGATGGTTAACACGCAGAAGAGGCTGTCCCTGGAAGACGGTTAAAGCGCAGAAGAGGCTGTCCCTGGAAGATGGTTAACGTGCAGAAGAGGCTGTCCCTGGATGATGGTTAACGCACAGAAGAGGCTGTCCCTGGAAAATGGTTAACGTGCAGAAGAGGCTCTCCCTGGATGATGGTTAAGACGAAGAAGAGGCTGTCCCTGGAAGATGGTTAACGTGCAGAAGAGGCTGTCCCTGGATGATGGTTAACACGCAGAAGAGGCTGTCCCTGGAAGATGGTTAACGTGCAGAAGAGGCTGTCCCTGGAAGATGGTTAACGCGCAGAAGAGGCTGTCCCTGGATGATGGTTAATGCGCAGAAGAGGCTGTCCCTGGATGATGTTTAACACGCAGAAGAGGCTGTCCCTGGATGATGGTTAACAGGCAGAAGAGGCTGTCCCTGGATGATGGTTAACACGCAGGACACAAATGCTTAGATCACAACACAGAGGAAACGGCCATCCTCGAACCCATCCAAACAGGCATAATCCGTCCTCTACAGACCCTTCTCTGCAACAAAACAGGGGAATGTAGCAGCCGAACACTTGTCTTTCTTCTTTAAAAAACATAAGGAGTAAATAAAATGAGATCGCTGTACTGCCTCCCACATTGGACGTGACGACCTTTAAGAAGGCATTCATTTTGTTCTCATGCCAAAACCTACAGGGAAGCCTTGCCAGACCTCACTTAGTACAGCTTTACGGAATGTACGAAAGCCGTTTTTCACTTAATAACCTGGCCTCTGACCACTCCTACATGGGAAATTCACCTCAAGTTTTAAGACAGAATACACTTGAGTTCACAGGCACTGGCTCATTTTCCAAAAACACGCATCTGTCCCAACCTTTCTGTGGCACACAACTGAAACCCCCGCACAGAGGGAAGTTTCCCTTCTGTTCACACATTCAGAAAACAATGCAGAGAGGGATGTGTTGGTGGAAACGCAAGTACGAGTGCTGCTTTCATCAAATTTATTCAAAAGTAACTTAAACATCAGGGTAACGAAAGGTACAGGTTCTAAGGACCAGCATTGGCTTCTCTCCTAAAGATTTTCACCACTGAGATAGAGTTGCTGCCTAATTCATCTCAGGAAATTAGGGAGTCCAACTGCAATGGCCAATTATACAGATTATTCTTTCTTACAGCATCAGCACTGAACGGTTTAAATATGCATCATATGCATGATAACGACATAAAAAGACAGTCTTAATGAGACTGAGTGATGGAGGGGCAGGGAGAACCGGCATGGGGACACTGCGGGCTGCTTCTAGTTTTCAGGACACTGTCATTTCTAATTCAACCTGGAATGCTAAAATTGTACCTTTAATCCTTTTCGGTCCTTCGGTGTGTTGAGCCCAATCACGCCAATCAGAAAAGTGGCACACCAGAGAAGACCACTGAAGCCAGCTCCAGGGAGGTGGCTCTGGAGAGGGGCTGCTGTAACCCATGGTGGGCCGTGTCCAGAGACCACTCCTCCAGACACTGCACGGGAGCAGGCCGCAGCCGACCTGACATGCGTGCCCACGTGCAACACCAGGCAAGACAGTGGGAGGGAGACACGTCCTGCTCTTGTTATTTCTGTCTGTGTCCTGGTCAATGCCTGCCCTTCCACAGTTCTGCCTGCAATAATTTAAAAACCACACACTGCTCTGGGAAGCCTGTTGCAAGCAGGTCTCCTGCACTCACTCTACACTCCAGAGCTCACCCCACAGGAAAGGAATGGTCCTTCTCTTCCCCACCACTGGGAGTATTGCCGTGGACATGCTGCCCCAAGAGCCCCACACCACACCTCCTCTCTCTTGCCACACCTTCCCTCTGGACCAGCCTTGGATGGGCCGTTGACAGCCGACACAACTTCTCTGCAGGAGCCTGTTCTCCTACAACAGCATATTTAGGCCGTCAGTGGCACCTACGTTGACCAAGGAAAATGAAAACAAAACCCCAAACCCACAGACGGCTCCACTTAGGTAAAATGTCAAGTGTGTGCGTATCACACAGGAAGAGGTTTGGGCTTTACTTCTGGTGCATGACATGAGATTGTCAGAGCAAAGTGCACTCTGAATTTACCTACTTTAAATTTCACTTTCATTCACTCAAAAAATATGTATTAGGCATCAACTATACACCAGAGACAGACAATGAAAAAATAAATATACCAGTAAATCCCACAGCACATGGAAGTCGGTAACACTACAAGAAAAGCAGGCTGATGAAAACAGACCCTATCCCACCCCAGAAGAAACCAGAGATTGGTACACGCACATGGAAATTGGAGTAAATTCCAAGGACACGGTATTACGATTCCATGCGCCTCTAGACAGTTCCACTTATTAAGGAATTACCGTGAAACTGCAGAGAGCGATAAATGTTTTTTAATGAATGAATCTAGGCTGTTCAAAAGAATCTGTTCCAGCACATAAAAACAGAAATAAACTCATCTTGAAAGGTTAGGTCCCGTTTTCACCCTCACCCTCAGCATCAACTGTTAGGATTTCCTGATCTCCCTTCGCTGCTGAATTAGGACTGTCTCTAGGTTATCTACGTAAATCAACATGACCCAGTACCTCCGGATGGCCACAGTGAGGGCCTCTGGCGAGCTGGCACAAGGACAGATGACCTCCTGTCGAAGGCCTTTACTTTGGAAGACATTGAGAAATGCATCGCAAGAAGAAATAGACCCTAGAGTGAAAGAGGGACAATGATCAGACAGCTGAAGCACTGTGATTGATTACAAAATCCCACCATAGAAAATAGTTCCGAAGGTGGGATTCAGGCACAAGTGGATCTAGGCAGCGTGGAAAAATATTTAATACAATTTATTATTTATGTTACACTGAAAGTGGTTATTCTCAAACAGAACTCAAGAATTTAAAGAATGCAACCTCCACATTTATGACACCTTTTCTGACAGATGAACTTACTTTAGTAACTTTTCTGAGACTTGTTCCACCATTTTCAGTACAGAAGTTCCAAGACAGGGGTAAATCTAAACCAAATGAAGAAAACTTTCCTCTCTATTAATTTAAATGATGAGGTCGAGGCACAATTATCAAGAACATATCAGCTAAACTATCTCCAAATATAGATATACTTTTCTTTATGCAAGATGTATTGTTTTGTACTTATGGGTTAAAACCAATTGTTCATTAAATTAGCTCAGGATTTATGAAATTCTATAAGTGAAGACTGTTTATAAAACCTGTTTATGAGTCTGCTTTTGTATATCAGGCATTAAAGGAGTTTATGCTGCTTTAGTTTACAAACATGAACGTTGCATGTTTCATAAATGTGGTCAGATACCTTTAATTTCACTTTGCTTCTGAAGCTTTATGTACTTTTTTCACAAAAGCATGCTAGCTAGGTTCTTGTTTCAGTTGGCTGAAATATTTCTCAAGGTGTATTTATAGTATTCTGTGGAGCTGCTAATTTACTTTAACTGGGTATTTTTGTTACAGGATGTGATAACGCAATTACATTTAAAACGACAAATTAATTTACTGATCAAGAAAACTACTATACACCAAAAAGTACTAGCAGTCAAGTATTTCTTGAATATTTCCTTATTACCTGCTTAGGGCTTACTTCACTTCATCCTCATGAAAATTTATGACTTAAGCACCGTTTTACAGCCGGGGAAACAGGGTCAGCAAAGGAACTTTCTCTACAGAATCAAGACATCCTCTGAATCCCAGGGCTGTGGAGTCTACAAATGCCTGTCCTTATTATGCCATCGTACCTCTTGGCCCGAGTGAGTGATTACTGTTTGGTGATTTTAAGACAATTTCTTTACTAAGATAAGGATTAGAAAAAGAAAAATCAAAGTGCAAAGAATGAAACCTGGGGAAAAAATAAAAAAGACTTCACAGCCTGCCTGCCTCACGAAAAAAAAAAAAAAAAGACTCCACAGCCCGCCTGCCTCACGAGATCACACGCTCCTCACTTACAGGGGTTCGCGCCGTCCGCCACTATCAGCATTCGCAGAGAGGAGAGGTTGATGTCTCTCTGATCTCTGTGTGCTACTAATGCCCAATGCATATCCCTCGATTTCACACACGCCACTTTTGCTAAAAAGAAAAATAGAAATAAGTTAACATGTGCCACCGTCAGATCGTCCCCTATTGCAAAAGAGAGATCATTGTGAGTAGTGGGGAAGGGTGAAGAATCACTGGTCACCCAGCCCCCACAAACCTTTTTTTTTTTTTTTTTTTTTTTTTTTTGTGATCTTGGCTCACCGCAACCTCCTTCTCCTGGGTTCAAGATTTCTCCTGCCTCAACCTCCCGAGTAGCTGGGATTATAGGCATGCGCCATCAGGCCTGGCTAATTTTTGTATTATTAGTAGAAACGGGGTTTCTCCATATTGGCCCGGGTGGTCTGGAACTCCTGACCTCAGGTGATCCACCTGCTTTGGCCTCCTAAAGCGCTGGGATTACAGGTGTGAGCCACTGCGCCCGGCGAGACCCACCTTTGTACTGGCAGACCTTCTGGATCCAGGAGAGAGGGTTCACCTTCATCAGCGAGTACGGGATGCTGATCACATGCATCATGTTCATGACGCTCTGCAATCAACAAAGGAACACGCAGGGTGAGCATGGAGGGGCACGCAGAGGAGCAGCTCTCACCCAGTGGCATGGACACTAGGCCGCACGGGCAGGGGGGAGCTCTCAGGGAGCGCTGCAGACACCATGCACACAGGCCCCTGGAGGCTCCTCAGGGTGGGGCTGGCAGGGATGGCAAATACAGAGGGGCATAGTGGAGGAGCAGCTCTCAGTGAGTGCCATGGACACCAGACTGCACAGGCCCCCAGGGAAGGAGGAGGAGAAGCAGCTCTCAGGGAGCGCCGCGGACACCAGGCTGCACGGGCCAGGAGGAGCAGCAGTTCTCAAGGAGCACCACAGACACCAGGCTGCAAGGGCCCGGAAGAGCAGCAGGTCTCAGAGAGTGCCACGGACACCAGGCTGCACGGGCCCTGAGGAGAAGCAGCTCTCAGGGAGCGCCACGGACACCAGGCTGCACGGGCTGGGAGGAGAAGCAGCTCTCATGGAGCACCGTGGACGCCAGGCTGCACGGGACCCGAGGATCAGCAGCTCTCAGGGAGCACCACGGACACCGGGCTGCACAGGCCTGGAGGAGGAGCGGTCGCACAGGACCCTGGAGGCTCCTCAGTGTGGGAATGGCAGGGATGGCTGGTCTGCATGAATGTGACACGGTAGGGTCTGGGTGTAATCCTTTAAAACATGTCCATGAAAAGCGACTTCCCAAGGTCTCCCTCGAACTCCACTGCTTTCCCTAAACTACTCCTGACAGAATTAAGTAATTTAAGTCCAAATCTTTTTAAGACGAAACCTTTGGTGAAACAGATCGTCATTTTCAACAGCCTTTCGTATCCTCAAAGCCTAATTCTTCCCGGTGTGTTATGCTAACTTTTATTTCACAGAACCCATCTTGAGAACCGCACACTGCTCTGAATCGCAGGGCTAGGGGAAGCTCGGATTCTGGCTCTGGCCGGGCCTTGCTGCGGCAGATTACTACTTCTGACAAAAATAAACTGGGAAACACTGGCTAGTACCTGCACGCTGCTGCACACAGAGGCTGGGACTCACACCTACAGGGGCGGCAGCAACACACCTGCCTCACACCGCAGCAGTCAGACCAGGCACCACCTGGCAGGCTGTGTGGCGGGCTAGGATTCTTGCAGTCTTGTAGGCTACGGGGTGGGGGCAGACGAGAGGGCAGAGACCCCTCTGCCACTGGCTCGATTTGGGAAGCTCCAGATGAAAGCAAAAAAGCATGTGCCTTCACTCCCCAGAGCTCTGCCGACTCCCCGCCACTCTGCTGGGGGAGGTAAGGGTGTCTCAAAAGATGCTGCTGCCTGCTCAGAGACCTCGCTTTAGATGTGACAGTGGAGAGACTCGCACCTGCCAGGGCTGCCAGCTGTACCCCGGAGCACGGAGCAGGCAGGCTGGCACCACCAGCGGGAGCTCCTCAGAGAGGCGGCCCCGCGACGAGGCCTCGAAAGCAGGGCTGTGTGGACAACGTCACAGCCGGAAAGTTGGGTGTTCTAATGACGAGAGTGACTAACGGCACCAGTGATGTAGCTGTCTGTTCTTTGGGACCTGATCATTGAATCACATGCGTCAAACGTGTAGGTGGAGTGAGTGCTTCAACTTTAGGCCACAGAATTCTCACACCGGCCACGTCAAATAGGATCGTCGTTCCATTCACAGACAGAAAAACTGAGGTTTGGATTTGAGAAGGGACTTGGACGCACGTCTGACATGCCTGAGTCACAAAGCTAAGAAAGGAAAGGCTGAGACACAAGCCCAGGTCCTCCAATCCCAAAGCAGGGGCTCCCACTGCACCAGCACATAACGGTGCTGGGAACAAGCTGCTCCATCTTATCCCAGGTCCTTCAATCCCAAAGCAGGGGCTCCCCACTGCACCAGCACACAGTGGTGCTGGGAACACGCTGCTCCATCTTATCCCCCAACAGCATCCAGACTTGAGAGACGACCTGTGTGTAACACGGAAAGAAGCCAGCCGGGCTGCTCTGCAGCCACAGATATTTGGTCTAGGAAATGCTTGCCGGCTCCTCTTCACATGAATTCTGGTTCGCCAAGAAACGGCGAATACAGGAATTCCTGTATTCATATGCCCATCACTCATGTGACAACTCCTAGAATTTTCTACCTCCAAAAGGTAAGAAGCTTCAGCGTAAGAAATTATTCAAAAGAAAAATGAGTGAAAATTACCACATATGAAACAGATGGGGGGAGCGTCTAAGCAGTCATGCTCCACGTAGCTTTTAAGGGCCAGGCCCACCTTAAACAAATAACAAGGCTACTTCCCCACGAAAAGTGCCCAAGCCCGGCACGTCATCCAGGGCACTCGTGACTGTGAGACAGTCGTTTCCCTACAACACACACAGACTGCCATCCTCAAGGGCAAATCTGGAAACTACTTTCCCCCGCAGAGTAACACAATAGCAGGCCCCACCGACTCAACAAACAGAAACATCCAGCTAACCAGATGTACGGGACAGTAGCCCACACACGAACCAACCTTTGACGTTATTCTAAGATACTGAATGCCAAAAGTGCGGGAAGAAAGATAATGATCTCCACGTGAGCCCTGGAAGGCTGTTTTCGGCAGCTGTAACCTCAATCCACGTGTCCAAGACCCTCACACCAGTGGCTGCTGACACAACTGGCTTTGTGGTGCAGTTGTGAACCACGTTAGTGGACAACCTCGGTCTTCTAACAGTGACGATTTTCTGCTTCACAGTGTGGCAGGAAGCAGCTTGCACAAGTGAAACGTAGGCAAATCTAGGCATTTGTATTCCTACACCCAGCACACTCCTGTGTGGACAGACAGTGAGGGGAGGGGACTCCTGTGTGGACAGGCAGTGCGGGCGGCGGGGGGGCGACTCCTGTGTGGACAGACAGTGAGGGGAGGGGACTCCTGTGTGGACAGGCAGGGCGGGGTGGGGGGCGACTCCTGTGTGGACAGGCAGGGTGGGAGGGAGACTCCTGTGTGGACAGACAGTGTGGGGAGGGGACTCCTGTGTGGACAGACAGTATGGGGAGGGGGACTCCTGTGTGGACAGGCAGGGCAGGGTGGGGGACTCCTTTGTGGACAGACACGGCCGGGGGGACCTCACTTACTGTCAGGATGCCATGCCAGAGCCCGACGTCCTTCTTGAAATCCAGCACATTCACAATGGTTTCAGCTGCACAACAGAGGGAGTCAGGAGATTTTTACTTAGGACAGGGCGGCAACAGATCAAAATGCAAACAAAATCCAATATTGCATCAGGGGAAATAACAGATCTTGGGAAAATATCATTTTGCCGTATCTTGGTGGAAATTCTGTAGACTCCAAGTAGGCCGGTTTGAGTGCCGGCCACCCTGGAGTTTCTCGACAGATATCCTGACACATGAGTGAGCAGCGTTAGCTCTCCACACTGCACCTTAAAACGCAGCGTTCCTTCTCCTTTTATATATTTCCCCCTCTCTGCCTTTTTCTTTAAAAGATTTCTTTTCACTTCCTCATGAGTCTCCCAGGAAAGGAAGCTTTGCAGCTGGCATGCCCTCTGCGCACAGAGGAGGAAGTGGATTTTTGGCAACACAGGGGCCTACACAGCTCTACTGCAAGTCTCCAAGGTTGGAGCTGCAATAAAAAAAGGAGGCACTGCAATTTGGAAGACGGGGAGGACAATCTATTCAATGACTATGGGGGAGGGCTCTAAAAAGGTGCTAAAAGCTCGTGCTTGATGAGGTTTACCATCACAGAGCATGCTGGCCCTGAACAGACCTAGCTTTCTCCCGAAGTCACCTGGCCAGCCAAGGTCAGCAGCTGCCTGCAGGTGACTCAGTCTCACCTCCCCTTCCAAAGGCTAAAGTGTGGAGGATAATAGACAGGAGGCTTTCACAATAAATGGCCAAAAGTAAACAACCTAAGTTCCTTTTGAAAGTAGTGAAGTAAAGAGCGAACGTATCATTCCCTCCCCAACCTCCACAAGCGTGACCACCCTGGACCTTGGAGGCGCAGGGGGCAGTGCGTCCCCAGGTGTGAAAACTCCATGGCCAAACATCAGAATACCCACGAGACACACACGCTGTTTTTAAAAGGGAGATTATGAGGATGGGCAGATAATAAAAATAGTAGAAAAAGAAAAGTGTTTCATTCCACAGCGGAGCGGCAGATGCCACCACGGCTTCGTGAAGTTCCAGAAAGAGACGCCAGGCAGGGGTGCACGCCGCAGCGGTGCCCTGTCAGGAGCCTGGTCAAGGGGATGTCAGGGAGCCTCAGGGGGTCTCCGGAGGGGGTCTCAAGGGGCCTTGGGGCATCCTAAGGGATCTCAGGGACATGGGGGGGTTCTCTGGAGTCTCAAGGGGCCTCGGGGCATCCCAAGGGATCTCAGGGCCACGGGGATTCTCTGGGGGTTCTCTGGGGTCTCAAGGGGCCTCGGGCCATCCCAAGGGATCTCAGGGGCATGGGGGTTCTCTGGGGGTTCTCTGAGGTCTCAAGGGGCCTTGGGGCATCCCAAGGGATCTCAGGGGCATGGGGGTTCTCTGGGGTCTCAAAGGGCCTCAGGGCATCCCAAGGGATCTCAGGGGCATGGGGGTTCTCAAGGGGTCTCAAAGGGCCTCAGGGTACATCACAACGTCTCAGAACATCTCAGGAGGTTTCAGGGGATATCAGCAGGACTCAGGCCACCAATGGGGGGAGTCTCTGGGGTCCCCGGGGTCGCACCCTCCCCTCTCTGTGCCATTTCAGTGTGGTTGCCACAGTTCCCTCCACTCAAGTTCCCTCCACTCACTTCCCCTCTTTGCCTCCCATACCAGCCCACCCGGGGGAAGGAAAACACATCACGAGCACCAATGCAGAGACTCTGACTCAATTGGGAGGGTGGGTGGACACACAGGCGTTTTCTTTACAACTAAAGATATGCTCATGTGCACCCAGGGATGAAGCTCCACGGCGTTAACAGCGTCTCCCCAGATCCACATGCTGAAGCCCAGGCCCCGGCGTGGCTGTGTGGAGAGCGCACCTTTCAGGAGGTCCTTTGCATTCAGTGGGGTGGTAGGGATGGGTTCCTAACTGCACATCTTCTCACACCTCCTACGAGAAACCTGGAAGAGACCCCCACTGGGAACTGCCCAAGGACACGCTGACCTCAGACCTCCGCGCTGTGCGGACATAAATGTCTGCTGTTGAAGCCGCCCAGTCTGTAGTATTTGCTATGGTAGGCTGAGCTGATATCCTAACTCAACAATAAGTTCATGTCAGCGGAGCTGGGCACAAACTTCACGCTATTTCTATGGCTCCTCGTGGGAGTGATGTGGCCTTCGTGTCAGGTGTCCCGGTTAGAACCAGGGTCCCAAGGAGTCAGGGTCTGGCACCCCACCTTCCGTGTAGCCACACGCCTGCGTCAGGGCCTGGCAGTGTGTCAGCAGCGCAGTCCTCGTCACCGTCACACCCAGCACACTGCCATCCTTACACGTCTTGTACTGAAACGAGACAAAGCGTGAGGGAAGTGGGGCTGACAGGTCACGGCAGTTTTTCTGGTTACTTGAGGTTCTCCAAGTCCCTGAATTTTGGCACTCGTGTAACCGTCAGAAACACACGTTAGTGCCAAGGCCACACTCAGGGCCAGTGGAGGAGGCCAAGGCTGACTCACCTCAATATACGCAGTGTCGTTATTGGCATCTTTAATGTGTGGGAACCAGTCTCGGGGCGGTTTGGAGAGATGTTTAGACTCTGTGACAAACCACAGCAGCTTTGGCCAACCTTGGAAATAAACAACAAGTTCCTTTTAAATGTTACTCTGAAAGTCGGTCTGTAGAATTTCTCCCCATTTATGTGGTACCCTTTCAAACACGTCAACTAGATCGAATCTCTGGTGTCTCCGGACTTCACGAGATCTAAGACATCAACAGAAGAGCACCCAAGCCGCCACCATGCGTTACCTCACGTCACCCCACGGGCTGGCAACTCGGCTGTGTCATCAGGGACGAGAACGCGTGAAAACTCGTGGGTCTGTGACTGACGTTTCATTCCACAGAGGATTGAAACCGAGGCGGGGTGACGTATTCCCGCACCCGTCTTCTGACAAAGGACGTGGGCATGCGAGCTCTCGGAGGCTCGGTGGCTTACCTTTAAACTGTGGGATCTCTCCCGTTGGGCTTTTTGGAAGTCCTTTATGGCAGGCGTCACTAGTCAAGGCTACAGTAACTCCACAGCTTCCAAGCAAGAAACCTATCTGCTGGCTCCCTGCGTCCTGAGAGGGCAACAGAGAGGAGTTGAGAATCCACGACCTGCCCCACTCCGCCCAGCCTTCGGCCCTCCCTCCAGCGTTCACACAGACCCTCGAGTCTGCAGAACCAGGATCCAACCCCCAGCCCTGCTGCTTGGTATCTGTGGGACCCTGAACAGGTGAGACTGCATGGCCTCAGTGTCCTCACGTGTAAAACAGGTATAGAAAGAACAGCTGTCTCCCAGGTTTGTTGAGGGATAAATTAGAAGAGGGTGTGGAAAGTGCTCAGTGCAGGCTGGCGTTCAGCGGGTCGCGTTAAGAGCCTGCTGTTATAGCTCTCTCCAATTCCATAAGACTATGATTATACAATGCAATTACTGTAGAGAATAGACAGGGCCTGAAAAAACACTTCTACTAACATGCTAACACCAAGTGCCTGATCTTTAAAACACTCAAAGACCAAAGGCACGAAAGGCACACCTGTCATGGGTGCCAGGCAGGGCACCTCGGCCAGAGGAAGGAAGACCTGGGTCACTTTCTCCTCACCCTGAGCAGCCCAGTCTCAACGAACTAACTGAAGCTTGCTGAAACAGGCCACTGCTGTGCAGCCCCACTGGAGACACCAGATACAGGTGGCTCCAGGCTGCCAGCTCCGGTTTGGGAAGGTCAGACCTGAACAGACCTACGCCAGTCGTCACTCCTGTCCAGCTGCCCAAAGGCAGGTGGGCGAGCAGCCAAGGCACTCGCATCACTCTCTCTACGCCCACCAGCTGTGCCAGCTGTGTGGGTTTTCCATTATTTGATTCATAAAATAAACTGAAAGCTCCAAAACAGCCAGGGTTCCAGGACCTAAAAATGCCACATTGTAGTGAGCAAGTCACCGTCTTCGCTCCCCAGATGGCTCAGCATGAACCCCTCAATTATGGACCCTACAAGGCCTGGTTGCTGTCAGTAATCAGAGGCCTGGCTGTGGATCTTCCCACCTGTTCCCTGATAACAGGAAAACATGAGCTGAAGAGTGGTGTTTTCACCTGGGTAAATTAGGCAGATTTAAAATTTCAAAGCTGTAGTCTCTTAAGTGTTTAGTACTTTTCTTATTGTAGATTTAAATCTACAGTGAAAACGCCTCTCTGTGGAATTTTCATGGAGCAACAGCCAAATGAGCCAACCAGCACATGCAGGGCAGCTCCCCAAGATCTGGCCGCCGGGAGCTCTGCGGACAGATGGAACCCACTTCGGGGACATCTTGTGGTGCTTTTCACACAGATGCTGCTTGCTCAAGTAAAGCCCTAATCAGTCACTTTAATGTGAATCTGAACATCACATTAGCAAACGTCCCGACTCTTGAAGGGACACAGGTGAGGGGCAGAGGTGGGGCGACATCAGCTTCTGCAGCAGGAAGGCGGCTCTGCTGAGCCAGGAAGTGCCGGGCCGAGGCAGGAGAACACGCGTGACTGTCACAAGACGGAGGAACGGCTGAGGCCAGTCGCTCATGGCTGTGGGTGGAATGCTGACCTCAGGCCAGGAGCCAACCTTTCGCTAAACCCTGCCCTGGTAGTGTCCGCCCGTGATTTAATCCCCCAAATGATAAAATCATACACATAAGAAGATCCCAAAAAATAAGGAAGAGACTGAAAACCACAGGAGCAGCAGGCCTGGGAGGATGCGGCTGCTATTCAGCCAAGGTGAGGCTGGGCCTGCTGCTCCTCCGCACGTGTAGAGTGCCCCCCGCGGCCCCGTCAGACGCCAGCCCTCAGCACAGCTCTGCCCAGCCCTGGCCAGTGTGCTCAGAACAGCACTTAACCATGTCTCACCCTACACACCCATGTGGGAGGCAGCCCAGTGGAGTCTTCAACACACATACGTGCCCAGGTACACACGCGCCCAGGTACACACGCGCACACACTCACATACACACACACACACTTAACACTCTCACACGCGCCCATGCACACACGCGGATGCGCACACTCAGCGCACACACACACACACGCCCACGCACACACACGTCCCCACACAATACACAGACACTCAACACTCACACACACGTGCCCACACACAGGCGCGCACACACACTCAACAAAGAAAGGGACCAGACAGATGGACCCTGCACACAGCACCTGAAGCAAAGGGCTGCGGGTCCTCAGTGGGCCTCACGACCTCTGCCGGTGACCCAAGGACGGGACCCGGCTGCACCTGGACTAGTGGCTTTCCTGACTCACAGGCCTCAGTCCTCTGTCCTTGGAAAGGTGGCGTCGGCCTCAGTCTGGCTGGATCTGAGGCCAACTCCGGGAAACAGGTGCTACATCTCAGGAAAGTGAATAAAAAGAATCCTCCCAGGATGCATTCAGAAAACTAGGTTCTCATCAGGGTCTTTATTCGAAGACACTTCTAGCGGCTGTAGGACTGGCAGATGGAAGCAATATTAGGATTCACATACTTAACTACACGAATATGCTCATCTGACCTCACTTTGACTTGCACCATAGCCAACAGATTCTTTCAGTTAAAAATAAGAAAAGTTCTCTAAGACCAATAAGCTGCTACTTTCTAAAGGCACACTTCTGAAAGGATGGCACCCAAATGGCCAACAGGTCCATGAAAAGGTGCTCCACATCACTAATCATCAGGGAAACGCAAATTAAAACCACAGGGAAGCCAGGCGCGATGGCTCAGGCCTGTAATCCCAGCACTTTGGGTGGCCACGGCAGGCAGATCAGTGGAGGTCAGGAGTTCAAGACCAGCCTGGCCAGCATGGCTAAACCCCAATCTCTACTAAAAATATAAAGATTAGCCAGGTGCCATGGTACGCGCCTGTAATCCCAGCTACTCAGGAGGCTGAGGCAGGAGAATAGCTTGAACCCGGGAAGCGGAGGTTGCAGTGAGCAGAGATTGCGTCACTGCACTCCAGCCTGGGTGACAGAGCGAGACTCCGTCTCAAAAAAAAAAAAAAAAAAGAAAAAAAAAGAAAAAGAAAAAGGAAAAGGAAAAAAAAAAAAAACAACCCACAAGGAGACATCACCTCACATTTCTTGCACTGGTTACAACGTGTTTATCAAAAAGAGGAAAAATACCCGTTGATGAGGATGCAGAGAAAAGAAAACCCTTGCACGCTATTGGTGGGAATGCAAATTAGCACAGCCATTATGGAAAATGGTATGGAGATTTCTCAAAAACCTAAATATAGAACTACCATATGATCCAGCAATCTTGCTACTGGGTATTGGGCCAAAGGAACTGAAATTGATCAGGAATCCAGATTATCGGCATCCCTACATTCACTGGAGTGTTATCCACAAGGGTCAAGAAGACAAATCAACCACAGTGCCCAAAGACCCACGAATGGATGCAGAGCAGGCAGAGCCGGCACACTGGGCGCTATTCAGCCTTCAGCGAGGAGGGAAGCCGGGCCTGTGCTGAACCGGAAGGACATTACGTCACACAGTGGGCGCTATTCAGCCTTCAGGGAGGAGGGAAGCCTGCTCTGTGCTGAACTGGAAGGACATTATGGCACACAGTGGGTGCTATTCAGCCTTCAGCGAGGAGGGAACCCTGCCGTGTGCTGAACCAGGAGGACATTACATCACACAGTGGGTGCTATTCAGCCTTCAGCGAGGAGGGAAGTCTGCCGTGTGCTGAACCGGAAGGACATTATGCCACACAGTGGGCGCTATTCAGCCTTCAGGGAGGAGGGAAGCCTGCTCTGTGCTGAACCAAAGGACATTACGTCACATAGTGGGCGCTATTCAGCCTTCAGACAGGAGGGAAGGTGACCGTATGCTGAACAGGAAGGACATTATGCCACACAGTGGGCGCTATTCAGCCTTCAGGGAGGAGGGAAGCCTGCCACATGCTGAACCGGAAGGACGCTAGGCCACACAGTGGGCGCTATTCAGCCTTCAGGGAGGAGGGAAGCCTGCCACATGCTGAACAGGAAGGACGCTAGGCCACACAGTGGGCGCTATTCAGCCTTCAGGGAGGAGGGAAGCCTGCTCTGTGCTGAACCGAAGGACATTACCTCACACAGTGGGCGCTATTCAGCCTTCAGACAGGAGGGAAGGTGACCGTATGCTGAACAGGAAGGACACTGTGCCACACAGTGGGCACTATTCAGCCGTCAGTGAGGAGGGAAGCCTGCCGTATGCTGAACCAGGACATTAGGCTGCCGGAAATAAGCCAGGCACAGAAAGACCAAGGCTACATGAGCTCATTTACACGTGGCATTTAGCAGTGAATAGAATGGTGACCACGAGGGCTGGGGGGGAGGGAGGAGTTGGGGGGAGGGAGGAGTTGGGGGAGGGAGGAGATGGGGGGGAGGGAGGACATGGGGAGATGTTGGTCAGAAGAGACAAAGCCTCAGATTGGAGGAAGAGGTTTTGAGATCTATTGCAGAGCAGGGTAACTATAATAAATGAAAATGTAATCTACATTTCAAAATAACCAAGAGTATATTCCAAATGTCTTACCATAAAAAATGAGAGGTAAGCAAGGTGACAGATATGTTAATCAGTTTGATAAACATTCCACGTCGTATGCATATATCAGAACATCACACTCTACCCCATAAATGTATATAATTATAACTTGTCAGTTAAAATAATATTTAAAAAGTAAAATCAAGTCACGGTGTCTTTAGACCTGAGAGGCTCGGCCTCAGGGGAGGGTCTCTGTACTTCACCTGTGAAATCACTTGTGGCTTCCCTAGCATTCTATCCCATGACCACTGGTTGGCACAGTAAAGGTTTCTAAATGCCTTGTTAAGGTCTGTGCGTTCTCCACAGCTTTCTGCAAAGCCTGAGGCATCTGTAGGCAAAGTCACCTCAGGGTTATATTGGCACAGAGAGGGCAAGACAGGAATGTCAGCCCTTTCTTCTGAGAGGGGTTTTGGTGCTTGGTGATAAAACCATAGCCACAGAGGGCCCCTCCCTATGTCCTGGAGGTGAGGGACAGGCAGGGGATCTTTCCTGTCCCCGTGTCCTCATCACATGCACAGGTTACAGTCACTGACACGTAAGTCCCCAGGGACCTCCCAGCGTGAGAAGTCCTGGCCTCCTGAAATGTCCCCACACTGTTCTCCTGCTATGCTCCCTGCCCTCGGACCACAGAGAGTCCCCCCGAGATGCCCCTCATCCCCATGTGGACCCTGCCCTGTGCACAGTGAACGTGCAGCCTCTACTCGGGTACAAGGGGCTCTCAGCTGAGGGGGACTGTTGGGTCCTCCTGTGGGAGAGGAAAACTGTCCTCTTCCTCCATCATCACTGCCACAGCTTCCCAGCCACGTGGCCTTGGAAAGATTTCTGATTTGTTCAAAACGTACGGTTTATGTCTCTACTACCATTCAAAGGTACTTAATTCATTATTTCAAAGCATCTTAAATGTGTTACAGTGAAACGTTTCATGGCTGAAATAAATGCCACCTTGGTATTTGGAGCTATGCCTAGGATTTGAGATAATAGGATGGCATTTCTGCCAACCTGAGAGCAGCACTCCAACATGCTCAGGAAAACCACCTCCCCCCTTTATCCAAATCATTTTCCTCTACAAACCAGCCTGGACTGGAGGACACCAGGCTATACACTTTAACATGGATAAATACAAATTATTAAAGTGAAGAAAAGAATAATTGTTACGAATAACAATGATAAATGTTTTGTGTCTGGTTATTGAACCATCACCATATGCTCATGCCTACAAGTTCCTGCAAATCATCATTTCACTGTCGCTTAGAGACCTCAGAGCATGTCCAGAGAGCCCCTAACCATGGACATGAACATCAGCTGAAGAGAAGCCTTGTAAACTCCTCACTAGATCCCAGGACTGGGGTTAACTATAGTACTGAGGCTGTCATGTAAGCATGACTGGAGTCCTCCAGTCCTTCCACTTTTCTCACCTGTTGTGAAGACCATGGGACCCAGGGGATGAGAAAGCACCTCACGGGAAGTCTGAGCTGTCTGATGCACACGTGGAGTGCTGGCTGCAAATCCGGTGGGGGGGGGGGAAACTGGCTGCAAATCCGGTGGGGGGGAAACTGGCATTCTCCCATAGCAGCTACCACAGACTCCCCTGCCTCTGCCAGACACGAGCATACTCAGGAGGCCAAGCATGAACCTCCTGGCTTTGTACATAGGAAATGAAAATAGCAATCATCTTTCCTGTTTCCAAAAGGAACCCCGTGTTCTCTCCCTTCCCATCCAAGGGGAAGTTTGAAATGCAACCATGTAACTGGCACAGACTCTGAAGAGATACCCACGTGGCAGATGGTTTTCTTAAATATTGAGTCAACAAACTTTAATGCTGGAGTAGCCACAAAGACAGCTGAAGTTTCTTTGCCTGGGCTACCTGTGATTGTTGCCTTTTAGAGCTGGAAGAGTCACCCACACTGTGCACACATTAAAGATGTGCTAAAGGGGCCAGGCGCAGTGGCTCACACCTGTCATTCCAGCCCTGTGGGAGGCCGAGGTGGGCAGATCACCTGAGGTCAGGAGTTCGAGACCAGCCTGGCCAACGTAACAAAACCTCATCTCTACTAAAAATACAAAAATTAGCCGGGTGTGGTGGCACACGCCTGTAATCTCAGCTACTCAGGAGGCTGAGGGAGGAGAATCGCTTGAACCCGAGGGGCAGAGGTTGCAGTGAGCTGAAATCGTGCCACTGCACTCCAGCCTGGGAGACACAGCGACTCCATCTCAAAAAAAAAAAAAAAAGTGCTGAAGGGAGCTGATGGTTTAAGGGCAGTGTGCACAGGCACATTGCAGGTTCAGACCTGGGCAGTCCCTTGGGGCGCGTGCTGCTGGCTTCCTCCTACACGACTGGCCGCCTACAGGGAGCAGCAGCGTGACCTGCACTGCAGCCGCCCCACTTCATGTCTCTTACAGTTACCGTAACTGCTTTACAGAAGAACAAACCATCCACATGGACTAAAACCTTACATTGGTATGAGCGTAAGCCAAAAATAAAATTCTAAGCCCCTCAACCAACTGAAGAGACCTCTTCCCTCAGCCAAGGACATTCCAAAGTTAACCTGAAAAACCAGTTCAGCCATGATGGGAAGGAGGGGTCGGACATGCCCCCCTTACTCCCTCATCCTCTGTTTGAAATTCAGACACAGTTGACCAGCAATGGCATTAAAACAGACACCTCCAGACTGACAAAGCTGACTCTCTGGAGCAATAAGATACCAACATGACAAATAGCAGGCCCTGAAAGAAATCGAAGTATTTTACCTCAAAATATATTTCTTTGACATAGTTTGAAATAGCCCTATAAAGCTCTCTCTTGTGGGGAAAATCTACATTCTGTAGACAATCTCCTTCCCTTTCCAGGTCCTTTTCCTGATCCAGGGGAGAATTAACTAAGAGTCTGGCACATTTTTAAGTCTGATAAGAACCATTTACACCTATTCTCTCTGAAGCCTGCTGCCTGGAGGCTTCCTCCACATAATAAAATCCTTGGTCTCCACAACCCCGAACCCTAAGACACTGGCTTCTATTGATTTCAGGGCTTTAGATAAACTCTTTCAACCAACTGCCAATCAGAAAATCTTAGAATCCACCTGTGACCTGGAAGGCCCCCACTGCGGCTTCAAGCTGTCCCACCTTTCTAGACCAAATGAACATATGTCTTACATGTATTGCCTAATGTCTCATGTGTCCCTAAAATGTACGAACCCAAAAGCTGCAGCCGGACCACCCTGGGCACACGTTCTCAGGACCTCCTGAGGCTGTGGCATGGCCACGTCCTCAACCTTGGCAAAATAAAATTCTAAATTGAAACCTGTCTCAAATACTTTTTGATTGACAACGCACATTAATTTCTTTACATTGGATTAAACAATAATTACAATGGCAAGTTTAGTAGCTTATTTTCATTATAGAATAAAACCTGACAAATCATAGGTCAACCTTGGACTGGATGTCAAAACACCTGAACAAAAGCAGCATCCACCACCCTTCAAAATAATAATTAAAAAAAAACTATCATTTACCCCAATTCTAGTGCACATGACACCAAGGAACAAGATTCTCAAACACCCTTGCTTTACTGACCAAGAGGCTGCTGATCCACGTTTGACCCCAAAGCAAGCTGTGCTCCACCTCCAGGACGCCCATCCCAGGCTGCAGGGCCCACTAGCGACCGCATCCCTTATCGAGGCAACCGAAGGAAACCCAGGGCCCCAGAAACAGCGAGGAGACCCTCACCCAGCCGGGATACAGCCACCGTGAAAGCCATCTCACTCAGCGAGAAACCGAGCAAAGGGCGCATTCCTTACCTTCCTGGTGAGCGGCACCTCGATGGGCACGGGGACCACCTCGGCCAGCAGGCAGCCGTAGAAAGCCGCCATGAAGGCAGCCGGATCATTGTTGGGGAACACCAGTGCCACCTGTGGGACAGGCCAGAGCGGGTCAGCATTAACGTGGGGTCCTGGCTTCCTAAGACGCCACGGAAGAGCTTGGTTCTAGGTGAGAGGGCACGCTTCAGTGAGAACCAGATCCTATGTAAAATGCATTTCAGTAAGCTGTGTTTTAATAAGCATCACACACCCGGCCTTGAATTCATATAGAAGACAAACGTGAACAGTCGTCTATGATACTGTCACCAGAGTACAACTGCCTTTATTTTCTGCATACTACCTTCCATACCCACACGTTTCCACATAGATGAAGTTATATCCTACTGTTTCTCACTAAGCTTTGTAAATACTTCCTTGTATTTCTATACAGTCTTCATAACTGTCCTGGGACAGCATGTGCAGGACTCAGCTCAGATCCCATGGCAGTGTTTGGCTCTGGGATCTCAGGCACAATTGTGGCCTCTCTGAGCCTTAGTGTTCTTCTCTGAAAAGTGAGAATAATGATAGAGCTGATGTCTTAATGCGGTGGTCAAGGTCAAATGAGAGAATGCACATAGAGAACTCAGTGGGCTGCTTCACACATGGCGTGAGTTCGTGGAGGCTGACTATGAGTAAAGCCCAAGTTACTGGCACTAGGGCTGGTGGCAGCATCAGTCCCCTGGTGCCACACACGTGCATGTGTTGTGGGCCCTGGCCCTGCAGCAGTCTTCCCTGTGTAGCTGCCTGGATGTGGCACCAACCCATCCTGCCAGCTCAGCCTCTCTTAAGAACTAAGTTCCTAAGAGTAGAATTATCAGAGTTCTAAAAGTGTGGTTAATGTAAATTACCAAGTAATATTGGTACCTACTAATAGATATTATGATTTTTTTTCTAAAGAAACAAGTTCACTCTATTACCCAGGCTGGAGTGCAGTGGCACAATCATAGCTCACTGCAGCCTTGAACTCCTGGGCTCCAGTGATCCTCCTGCCTTACAGGTGAGCACTACTGCATGCAGCTAATTTTTAAAAAATATCTTTAGATGGGGTCTCGTTATGTTGCCCAGGCTGGCCTCAAACTCCTGGCCTCAAGCGATTCTCCTGCCTTGGTCCCCGCAAAGTGTTGGGATTACAGATGTGAGCCACTGTTGCCTGGCCAGTATGTTTTCTGATGGTCCTTAACAGTATGGTGTATCTTGACGAAGAACAATTTTCCTTCGATGATAGAGTGTTAATAGACAACCCTATTTCTGGATTCCCACTAAGCCCTGTGAACTCTGCTTCTATTTTAACACAGGTTACTTGTACATGTGGGGTAGCATTAGCGTTACTCTTCCTTCTGGACAAGTTTGGTACATTTTCATCAGCACATGAATCCTGTGATTTTACACGTGTGGTAGCATTAGCATTACTCTTCCTTATGGACAAGTTTGGTACGTGTTCATCAGCACATGAATCCTGTGATTTTACATGTGGGGTAGCATTAGCATTACTCTTCCTTATGGACAAGTTTGGTATGTGTTCATCAGCACATGAATCCTGTGATTTTACACGTGTGGTAGCATTAGCATTACTCTTCTTTATGGACAAGTTTGGTAATCCTGTGATTTTACACGTGTGGTAGCATTAGCATTACTCTTCCTTATGAACAAGTTTGGTATGTGTTCCTCACCACATGAATCCTGTGATTTTACACGTGTGGCAGCATTAGCATTACTCTTCCTTATGGACAAGTTTGGTACATTTTCATCAGTACATGAATCCTATGATTTTACACGTGTGGCAGCATTAGCATTACTCTTCCTTATGGACAAGTTTGGTATGTGTTCATCAGCACATGAATCCTGTGATTTTACACGTGTGGTAGCATTAGCATTACTCTTCCTTATGGACAAGTTTGGTATGTGTTCATCAGCACATGAATCCTGTGATTTTACACGTGTGGTAGCATTAGCATTACTCTTCCTTATGGACAAGTTTGGTATGTGTTCATCAGCACATGAATCCTGTGATTTTACATGTGTGGTAGCATTAGCATTACTCTTCCTTATGGACAAGTTTGGTACATTTTCATCAGCCCATGAATCCTATGATTTTACATGTGGGGTAGCATTAGCATTACTCTTCCTTACGGACAAGTTTGGTATGTGTTCATCAGCACATGAATCCTATGATTTTACATGTGTGGTAGCATTAGCATTACTCTTCCTTATGGACAAGTTTCGTACATTTTCATCAGCACATGAATCCTGTGATTTTACATGTGTGGTAGCATTAGCGTTACTATTCCTTATGGACAAGTTTCGTATGTGTTCATCAGCACATGAATCCTGTGATTTTACATGTGTGGTAGCATTAGCATTACTCTTCCTTATGGACAAGTTTGGTACATTTTCATCAGCACATGAATCCTATTTTACATGTGTGGTAGCATTAGCATTACTCTTCCTTATGGACAAGTTTGGTACATTTTCATCAGCACATGAATCCTATGATTTTACATGTGTGGTAGCATTAGCATTACTCTTCCTTATGGACAAGTTTGGTATGTGTTCCTCAGCACATGAATCCTGTGATTTTACACGTGTGGCAGCATTAGCATTACTCTTCCTTATGGACAAGTTTGGTACATTTTCATCAGCACATGAATCCTATGATTTTACACGTGTGGCAGCATTAGCATTACTCTTCCTTATGGACAAGTTTGGTACATTTTCATCAGCACATGAATCCTGTGATTTTACACGTGTGGTAGCATTAGCGTTACTCTTCCTTATGGACAAGTTTGGTATGTGTTCCTCAGCACATAAATCCTGTGATTTTACATGTGTGGTAGCATTAGCATTACTCTTCCTTATGGACAAGTTTGGTATGTGTTCATCAGCACATGAATCCTGTGATTTTACATGTGTGGTAGCATTAGCATTACTCTTCCTTATGGACAAGTTTGGTACGTTTTCATCAGCACATGAATCCTGTGATTTTACATGTGTGGTAGCATTAGCATTACTCTTCCTTATGGACAAGTTTGGTACATTTTCATCAGCACATGAATCCTGTGATTTTACACGTGTGGTAGCATTAGCATTACTCTTCCTTATGGACAAGTTTGGTATGTGTTCATCAGCACATGAATCATGTGATTTTACATGTGTGGTAGCATTAGCATTACTCTTCCTTATGGACAAGTTTGGTACGTTTTCATCAGCACATGAATCCTGTGATTTTACACGTGTGGTAGCATTAGCATTACTCTTCCTTATGGACAAGTTTGGTATGTGTTCATCAGCACATGAATCCTGTGATTTTACACGTGTGGTAGCATTAGCATTACTCTTCCTTATGGACAAGTTTGGTATGTGTTCCTCAGCACATGAATCCTGTGATTTTACATGTGTGGTAGCATTAGCATTACTCTTCCTTATGGACAAGTTTGGTACATTTTCATCAGCACATGAATCCTATGATTTTACATGAGTGGTAGCATTAGCATTACTCTTCCTTATGGACAAGTTTGGTATGTGTTCATCAGCACATGAATCCTATGATTTTACATGTGTGGTAGCATTAGCATTACTCTTCCTTATGGACAAGTTTGGTATGTGTTCCTCAGCACATGAATCCTGTGATTTTACATGTGTGGTAGCATTAGCATTACTCTTCCTTATGGACAAGTTTGGTATGTGTTCATCAGCACATGAATCCTGTGATTTTACATGTGTGGTAGCATTAGCATTACTCTTCCTTATGGACAAGTTTGGTACATTTTCATCAGCACATGAATCCTGTGATTTTACATGTGTGGTAGCATTAGCATTACTCTTCCTTATGGACAAGTTTGGTACATTTTCATCAGCACATGAATCCTGTGATTTTACACATGTGGTAGCATTAGCATTACTCTTCCTTATGGACAAGTTTGGTATGTGTTCCTCAGCACATGAATCCTGTGATTTTACATGTGTGGTAGCATTAGCATTACTCTTCCTTATGGACAAGTTTGGTACATTTTCATCAGCACATGAATCCTATGATTTTACATGAGTGGTAGCATTAGCATTACTCTTCCTTATGGACAAGTTTGGTATGTGTTCAGCACATGAATCCTATGATTTTACATGTGTGGTAGCATTAGCATTACTCTTCCTTATGGACAAGTTTGGTATGTGTTCCTCAGCACATGAATCCTGTGATTTTACATGTGTGGTAGCATTAGCATTACTCTTCCTTATGGACAAGTTTGGTATGTGTTCATCAGCACATGAATCCTGTGATTTTACATGTGTGGTAGCATTAGCATTACTCTTCCTTATGGACAAGTTTGGTACGTTTTCATCAGCACATGAATCCTGTGATTTTACACGTGTGGTAGCATTAGCATTACTCTTCCTTATGGACAAGTTTGGTATGTGTTCATCAGCACATGAATCCTGTGATTTTACATGTGTGGTAGCATTAGCATTACTCTTCCTTATGGACAAGTTTGGTATGTGTTCATCAGCACATGAATCCTGTGATTTTACACGTGTGGTAGCATTAGCATTACTCTTCCTTATGGACAAGTTTGGTACATTTTCATCAGCCCATGAATCCTGTGATTCTACATGTGTGGTAGTATTAGCATTACTCTTCCTTATGGACAAGTTTGGTACGTTTTCATCAGCACATGAATCCTGTGATTTTACACGTGTGGTGGCATTAGCATTACTCTTCCTTATGGACAAGTTTGGTATGTGTTCCTCAGCACATGAATCCTGTGATTTTACACGTGTGGTGGCATTAGCATTACTCTTCCTTATGGACAAGTTTGGTATGTGTTCCTCAGCACATGAATCCTATGATTTTACATGTGTGGTAGCATTAGCATTACTCTTCCTTATGGACAAGTTTGGTACATTTTCATCAGCACATGAATCCTATGATTTTACATGTGTGGTAGCATTAGCATTACTCTTCCTTATGGACAAGTTTGGTATGTGTTCATCAGCACGTGAATCCTATGATTTAGCACATGTGCATCATTTTTGCATTACTTCATTCTGGATTTTTTTTTTTTTTTTGAGACAGAGTCTTGTTGTGTCACCCAGGCTGGAGTACAGTAGTGCAATCTCGGCTCACTGCAACCTCTGCTTCCCCGGTTCAAGCGATTCTCTTGCCTCAGCCTCCCGAATAGCTAGGACTATAGGCATGCACCACCACACTCAGCCAATTTTTTTCTATTTTTTGTAGATACAGGGTTTCACCATGTTGGCCAGGCTGGTCTCAATCTCTTGACCTAGTCATCTGCCCACCTCAGCCTCTCGAAGTGCTGGGATTCCAGGCATGAGTCACCGCACCAGGCCTCATTCTTGAAGTTAAACAATTTTTTATGAAAAATGTCCTAACTGGAAGTAATTTCATCACGAACAGTTTTAGACAAACATCCTAATCATCTGTGTATCTAAGTAAGCAGGCTGACATAAAAGCATCCAGATGGTCATTGAGAGGGGAGCAGGCCATGCTGGAAAGGTCGGAATGCAGGATCACTGGCAGACACAAAATTAAGTTGTAGATTCTATGAATATATGAATATTTCCTTTCTGTATGGAATTTCTATAGTCCACTACAATTTGCTAAGAGAGATTAGAAAGGGAATAAAATTATTTGTACATCTATGCGGATAAGCCACAACCAATTATTTCTTCAAACTATCCGAGGTTTACACTAGGCATGAGTGTCATGTGACGGACTGAGAGCTGATGGCATGTTTTTCAGATCTTGATATGGTGAACAAACAGTATTCAGTTAAATGTTTGTAAGATTTCCACATTACCACTGCTGTACAACTTCTTCCCCTAAGGCGGACCAAAAAACACCAGGAAACGTTAGAAAATTCAGATGTTGAAGTTCCATCCAAAACTGATGGTTGCACCCATTCATGAGAACATGTTCAGTTCTGACTTGTTAATCTTCCCAGAATACCAGCTCTGGAGGCAGAGTCTTCACCAAGGGCAGACAGCTGAGACGGAGAGGATGCGTGTCATCCCCACGGCCAGACGGCGATCAGCCCTCTCCCGAGAAGCACCTCGTGTCTGCCTCCTCTCCCAGCTCCTGTTGCCTCTGCTCAAAGGAAGTTCTTCTTTATCAGGGGTTTAAAATTCTCACTGATTTATCACTAGAGTTAATGCTGAAAATTTCATATTATAGACCACTGCAGAGTTGTACTGAAATGTGGTATAACAAAGTTAATAAAAGCAGAATATAAAATTGTACATTATTGTACACACACAACAATACAAGTAATGGATAGAAAAGGGTAAAATACTTAAAGGCTCTTTTAGCATCAAAACTGAAAATTTTTTTGCAATTTGTTTTAAGGAAGAGAACGTTGTACTTACATCATTTTTGTTAGGCATTCCTTCAGTATTTGAATCAGTCACAAATCCTGTTGTATTGCTACCTCCATAGTGATCCCAATACAATACTGGACAAATACAAAGACGCTCGATTTTTGTAAACCCACATGGCTTCCCTCCGTTCAATCCTCTGTGTACTTCTTTGATACTTCACTGTACCTAATTATTCACACAGCAGGCATCAGCCGATCAGGAGACGCACACTCAACTCTTCAGGGGAGCAAAGGCCTTTCCGGCTGAAGGATTCCCAGCTCCCCTCCAGGGCTCCTCACACAGCCGGCCCTGCTGTCCAGGCGAAAGGCTTCAGCACCTTCCACGCTACTTCCTGGAACCCGCCCAAGAGCTACCGGCTCATCTTTTCTCCTCGAGAGCCCTTCTCAGATAATCTTTCCTCAGAAAAATTTTAGAAAAGTAGCGCCTTCACCCCTGACCCAACCAAGCCAAACCAATCCCTGCCCAAAATAAGCCTCTTTACATATTTCATCAAACCGTGCTCCCGTATCTCTACTGACATCTTAGAGGAACACAGGAGTTTATTTTGTGATTATTATCATATGGAAACTTCAAGTATCTGGAGGCCATACTATGAAAGAATTTTTAAAACAACTCTTAAGACTACAAACCACATTACAGATAAAGGAGCTATTCCATTACAATTAACGTTTCATTATGTGGTAACACAAAATTTACGATTCTAACAATTTTTACACGTAGAATTCAGTAGCATGAAGCACAATCACAAGGTTATACAACTGCCACCACCAGCCATCTCTAGAACTTTCTCATCTTCCCAAATGGAAACTCTGTCCCTATTAAACACGAACTTTGCATTCCTCTCCCCCAGTCCCTGGCACCTAACCTTTCTGCTTTTGTTTCTCTACAGCTGGACTACTCTAGGGATGTCATGAAACCACTCTTGTGAAAATGATAACTGAGGAAATTATGACACTGAAAGGGATCAGACCTAACCAACTCCATCTTGCTTCTAACCTTTAAGCTGTCCCTTGTTCAATCCTGGGTGGAGAACAAACTAACCTTGGGAAGGAATTCAGTTCATAGTTTGACTCTGAAACAAAACTGGTAATAGCCCTTTCCCGAAATTACCCCTTTCTTGCTTGGGGACCAGTCTGCCTTTGTAGGACTAACAAATTAGCTACAAGATTAGAAATTACTGCATGACCCTAAAGGGGTCATGCAGCCTCTGGCTCCAACAGTCTGAATCTCCCCAGATTGCTCCTGGGGATAACATCACTATCATAAAACCTAAGATCAGTGCTGGAGGTATTCTGCAGACCCTGCACTGGATGGAGCAGCTGACACCACCCAGACAGGTCATCTGGCTCAACCAGTTCTGCGAACCCACCCAGGAACAGAAGACAGCAGGAAAAACTCAGTTCGACCCCCTACGATCCCATCTCCAACCTGACCAATCAGCACTCCCCACTTCCCAAGCCCTCACCCGCCAAGTTATCCTTAAAAACTCTGAACGATCCTCAAACACTTGGGGAGACCGATTTGAGAAATAATAGAACTCCAGTCTCCCGCACAGCCAGCTCTGCGTGAATCACTTTCTCCATTGCAATCCCCGTCTAGACAAATCGGCTCTGGCCAGGCAGCGGGCAAGGTGAACTGTTGGGTAGTTACGCTCGCAGGAACGGAATCACGCAATACCTGTTTTGTGTCTGGCTTACTTTACTAGGCATAGTATCTGCAAGGTTCATCCATGTGTTATGTGTCAGAACTTCCTCCCTTCTAATGGGAAATCCACATCTAGTCCGTGGATTTGGGGTTGCTTCCACCATTTGGTTGTGTGAGTCGGCTGCTATGAGCCTGAGTGTACTCATCTCTCTCCTAGACTCTGTTTTCAATCCTTTTGGGTACACACCCCGAAGCAGAACTGCTGGATCACACAGTAATTCCATGTTTAATTCTTTGAGGGACTGTCACGTTTTTCGGAGAGGCTGCACCATTTTACACTGTCACCAGCAATGCGCAAGGGTTCCGACTTCCCCACATCCTTGCCAACACGTGCCCTTTTCAGTAGTTTAGTAATTGCCGTGCTTCTCGGTGTAAAGCAGCATTTCACTGAGGTTTTGCTTTGCTTTTCCCTGATCAAGGATGCTGAGCATCTTTTCATGTGTTTATCGGCCACTGCTAAATCTTTGGAGAAACGTTTACTCAAGTCTCTGGCCCATTTAAACGTTTTTGTTGTTGTTGCTTTTTTTGGTGGTGGTGACTTGTAGGAATTCTTTAAATATTTTAGATATTAATCTCTGTTGGCAAATAATTTGCATTTTCTCCCATTCTGTAGGTGGCCTTTTCACTCTCTTGATAGTACTCTTTGATATACAAACATGTTTAATGTAAATGTCCAATTTATTTATTTTCCTTTTGTTGCCTGTGGTTCGGGTGCCACATCCAAGAAACTGTTGCCAAATCCAGGGTCATGAGGTGTCTTCTCTATATTTTCTTCTAAGGCATTTTCTTTATGTTTTCTTCTAGGTTTTGGCTTTAGCTCTTACATTTAGGCGTTTGGTCCATTTTGAATGAATTTTTTGCATATGATGTTAGGTAAACATCCGCCTTCATTCTCTTGCAGGTGGATGTCCAGTTTTCCCAGCACTGTGTGTTGGAAAGGCTGTCCTTTCCCCGTTGAGTATCTTGGCACCTGTGGAAATCACTTATCCATATACATGAGGGTTTATCTCTGGGCCCTTTATTCTGTTCCACTGGTGTATGTGTCTGTCTCTAAGCCAGTACCACATTGTTGTGATTATTATAAGCTTTGTAGTAAATTTTACGATCAGGAAATATGACACCTACAATTTACTTTTAAAAGAGGCCAAACGTGTTCAATAAAAAATGGGAAAGAATCCCAGGCCACGGTCTCCTGGAGCTGCTGCAATCTGTTGAACATGCCCACAGCAGACTCATGCCTTTATAGTATTGCTTAAGTAATCAAAGCTCATGCTCTTGTTGGTTTATGGAGCTCTAAATGATGTCTTTATGTAATTCACTTGGAGTCCTTTAGGTAGGATAACCTAATCTTGGGGGCATCTAAAGCACATAGGTAAAAAGGCTCTACACATAAATGCAAGAAAACCAGCTTCTATACCAAGCTCCACATCTAAACTGGGGCATAAAGCATGGACAAGACCATTACCTGCTCAGGATGTAATGTTAGAATGGAGACACCATTAATAGTATCTGTCCTGTGTAACTTACCAGGTAGCAGTTAAGAATAAAAACTTGCTTTCCAATAGAAAGTGGAGGTGGCGCTGAACTCTGTAATGTTTAAACAGTGGGCACCTTTTCCCACAGGACTCTTGTGTTTTGTAGATCCAGCAGTTTAAGTTGCACTTACCCTATCTCCAGGCCGGACCATGGGTTCCTGCTTTGTGCCTAATTTGTGTAGAATGCTGTAAGCGACCTTCATACTTCTTGTCCACAGCTTGCCTATGAATACAAATCACAGACAAATGTGCGTATTAAACCATACGGAGAGCACAGCTTCTGCAAGTCAAAGTCTAGGACATGAGTCCATTCTGCTTCCTGCGTATCATGGTCTGCAAGCGACTTGAAGTGGGGGCAGCTGAGCAAAGGGGGAACTGGTAGGCAAGAATGGAAAATGAGTGAAAGTAGAAAAGCATCAGGGATTCTAAAGACAAAACTTCAGGAGAGAGAATGAAAATAAAAAAGCTAAAACCAAGTGTTGGCCTGTCTTCTGATCTGTCTGTGATGTGGGGGTGGCGAGGGGGGGCGCGGACAGTGCACACACCGTCGTCACAGGGCTGGGATCTGCCCAGCTGAAATGACACCATCAGGGAGCGGGAGGGCCCTGAGAACCTTCTCCTAGCAGATCAAAGCTTCAAACTCATCCTGAGTCCCTGGAGTCAAGAGGAGTAAAAGCAATGACTCCAACAGTCAGAGCTGCCTGGACACTGGAACAAGGCCGGCACAAAACAAATCCCCTCTTAGTGCATGAAGTGCCTGCAGCAAGGTCAGCACAGAAACCGCGGGGAAGGTTGTAGGGAGGAAAGTCCTCTGGGGCCACCGCAACGGTGTCACTGCCACAAAGTCACTCCCGGTGACGTCCCTCATCCACAGCCGGTCTCACGTGAATGTGAGCAACACAGAGCAGAAAACTGCCTCGAGAGGCTCCAAACTCACAAGCCCTGTGTTTCTCACCTTCAAACTTTCCTAACCTCAGGGTTTTAGGGTTTTTAATCACAATCCTTGGATTCAGATAAAGATAATGGTAAATGTAACAGTCTGAGATCAAATAACAATGACTTTAAAGCCTAAAATGAGTTCTTAAATACACAATGGCCTTTTACAACCTAGTCTCAGAGGCTTCAGCTGCCAGAGCGTCTCAGTAGTCAAGGTGTTAGAAGACGTGATAATGCTGTAATAGTGTAATAAAGGTAACAGCTATCTTAACTGTTTTCTATTTCAGTACCATCACTGTTTTAATCTTTTCCCTCTTTTAAATCCAAACACTAAATCAGATTTTGTCGTTTACAACACAGTGCAAATTAAAACACCCTGAATTAATTTCATATCAGAATGAGAGTTCCTTAGATTAGTGTTATTATTATTTATCTACCACAGTATTTATCCCCTTGCTAATGAGAACGTGAAGAGAATGATTATCTTTGATTGTTCTGGTTCCTAGGACACTTCCCGGTCATACTACGTGCTCAGCAAATGTTTCTTCATTTTACTGATGTCGCAGGCAAGCTGTAATAAAATACAAAGTTACGGTGTGCATTCTAGCATATTCTTGAGCACTTAATTGCTAGACACACATTTATTCATGTTCCCTCCTCCTGTCTTCCTTAGCTCCTCATCCTCAACACCATAGGCAGTCTTCAAGACGGGCAGCTTTACAGTCATCTGGAATTCTATTAGGGGATTTTATTTTCCTGGAAAAGATCACTGGCTCATTAGATATAATTCAGGGAGTATTTTTTCCCCAACAAAAACAATTATTTTGTGGCTTCAGATTTCTTTAATGTGAACAAGATTAGGGAACTATTATAGTTGGGTAAAACAATTACAATCAATTCTTTGCAACTGAAAGAAAAACAATGTGTTGTAACTGAATAAATCAATTACACTCAATTAGCACCATTCTAGTTTGTGAAAGTTTCAACTTCATTCTCAGCTAAGAGTCTTGACATCCTAAGTTCATACACAAGCTAGTTAACAATAGAGAGTTTGATAAAACACATGCAAACTTTTGGAAAAATTCTTGAAATATATTTGGTATTTTTATACTTCTCAAAGAGAAAAGGCAGGAAGTTAAGCTGCTGATATAAAGATACAGCAGTTCTTAACTGATTCATAAAGGAGATGTGTGTGATGTCAGCACTATTGTATTAGATATTAATTGTAATTTCGCTTGGCTTTGACTGAGGAACAGGCAACTGAACAGAGTGTAACTGGTGAGGGGAGAGGCGGTGGGTGGCGAAGGGCTGAACCGGAGCAAGCCCGGGAAGGAGGCGGGAGCTTGAGAGAGACACCATCAACCACGCAAAAAAGCAGCAAGGCCACAGAAAGGTGGCCCAGCGTGCTGCTAGCTCAAGCATGTAGATTTCTTGAAACATCTGGAGTAAAAGGAAAACCATAAATAAAACGTTAAAAGGGAGATGAGCATGAGCATCTCCTTGGTAGGAAAGCCAGATGAACGTATAGGTCTCTCCAGAAATCCACAGAGGAGGCAGAGGAAGAGCGTACCAGAGAGCTGCTGTGAGGCAGGACGTGAAGGGAAATTAACAGCACAGCGTGACTTATTTTTATTAAGATTATGAAATGCCACGGGTAGTCTAAAGTGGAAAACAGAATGATGTTTTACAAGTTTATTCAGTTGTGGCTTTCATTAGCCACCTACACTTTCTGTTACTGATCCCAAGTTTATCCGCTGGGAATTCTGCTACCCCAGCGCTTCGTAGGAAGCTAAATTTGGGGGTTGAGGGGAAACGGCAGGACTTTAGAGAATACAGCCCCTTCAGTTACACCAAGTTACTCAGTATTAGAACAATTCTCATTCGATACCAAATTACTCAGTATTAGAACAATTCTCATTCGATACCAAATTACTCAGTATTTGAACAATTCTCATTCGATACCAAATTACTCAGTATTAGAACAATTCTCATTCGATACCAAATCACTCAGTATTAGAACAATTCTCATTCGACGAGCTTGTTTCTGACTCATCGTAGCAACACCCAGTCATGCGTTCATCTACGTTAGCGTTTCTACGCAGATGGCGCTTTCCAGTGTTCACTGCGTTTTCATCTGATAAGCTGTAATCTTAAATTTGGAAATGTGTTGCTTTCTTACATTCCTTTAACAAGTAAAAACCAAGATCAACCCACAGCCTGCAATTAAAATGGATAATTAAAATACAACATATAGATGATTAAAATACAACATATAAAGGAGTTAAAATGCTTTGGTTGTGGGCATGAGTTCTGAAGAATCCAACTTTTCATATGAATATTCAGTCTGTGTCTTACGTCTCCCATTCATCTTAACCTTGCAGGAAGGGGAAAGACACCAACCCTGTTCAAAGTTCCAGCAGCAGAGAGTGGCGATCCTTCTGATCGACATCAGAAGCCCCGTGAGAACTGTGTCTTATTGTCTTTGATTTCCCAAAGCTTAGTTCTGTGCCAATGCATACTGCATGCTTAAAACACCCAAGTGAACGTCTATTAGTTCTCAGAGTGAACACATGCACCCGAACAGTTCGGCTGCTCCTGGAATTCCCCGCATGTAGGCGGGGAGGCCTCAGAGGCCATCAGCTGTCATGCAGCAGCGACTCCAAGTACACAATTAGCTCCAGGGCTGAATTTGGCCGGAGATGAGGGTCACATAGAAAAGTCTTTCATGCTTTTGACTCAATAAAACCTATTTCTGAGAGCATAATTAAAAAAATAAAGTTTATGCTTCATCATGGATGCCACACACTGTCCATTTAAAACTACTCAATGAAGCCATAAAAGCAAAGGGGCTACGAAACGCACGCTCCCAAACCCAATATGCTCCTAGGCCCAAATCCCACATCTGTCCTGAGATGCACAGGTTGACAGCTGCTGCCTCCCAGAGCCCCACCCTGAAAGGCTAGGGTCTGAGGTTCCACGGTTCAACATAGCATCTGGCTTTTGACCTCCATGGCTAATGTAGAAATCAATTCCTTTCCTACCTGCAATCAGAAAAGTGTTGTAACAACAAAAGCTAAAGTTAAAAACAAAACCTGCCAACTGACAACAGGCGGAACTATGTACTGTACTATCCCAAGAGTCTAGAACTGAAACAGCTATGTTTAAAATTTCAGCTATCAACATAAATCTCAGACATGCAGACACAATATGAACCATTTTGGTCCTTCAGTTATTTTCGTATCTTTTGAAAATTCTAACTGATTAATTTTTTAGAGATGGGGTCTTGCTCTGTCACTGAGGCTGGAGTGCTGTGACACAATCATAGCTCAATGCAGCCTCGACCTCCTCCTCCTGCCTCAGCTCCCAAGCAGCTGGGACTACAGGCATGAGCCATCATGCCAGCCTTTTAGTTACTACTTTCTTTGTAAAGCTGAAGCAGACAGAAAATAGCCTGACAATCTGCCCCTCCATGGCCTCTTATCCACAGAAAAAAGAGAAACGCACTTCTCTGCTACCGTTAACCATGTGCAAAAAGCTTACAGACTGTATTAATTGTACTGAAGACTTAAGGGAAAGGCGGTTTCTCTGGCCTTCTGAAAAAGTCCCTTGGAAACCGATTTTGATTTTTCTGAGTGATACATACCAGAAAGTTTAGATAGACATTTTTTCTAACTACCAATCTTTGCTGAAAGCATGCATTTCAATAAATCACACATGTATTTAAGATCTAACATCTTATTAGAGCTATGGTCACTGCTTCAAGCAGCCATTTCTGGTTTTAACTCAAAAAATATTTAACAAATAACTTTTTATATTGAAATCAAATAGTTTTCCTAAAGAGTTTCTTGAGATTCCATTTATTTCTGTGCGGAAACATAAGGCAGCACAAAATCAATCAGTCACCAGAAGTAACAGACACTGAGCTTTGTGTGTTTGGGAGTGGCTGCGCGAGGGGGTGGGCAAAGGGCAGAGGGTAAACCTCCGGATTACCTTAAGTGAGGATTTAAACAGACACTGAGCTTCGTGCGTTCGGGAGTGGCTGCGCGAGGGCGTGGGCAAAGGGCAGAGGGTTAGCCTCGGGATTACCTTAAGTGAGGATGTAAACGGACACTGAGTTTCCTGCGTTCGGGAGTGGCTGTGCGAGGGGGTGGGCAAAGGGCAGAGAGTGAGCCTGGGGATTACCGTAAGTGAGGATGTAGAGGGGCTTCCCGTTGGTGTCCATGGTGGTCAGGCAGGGCGCCTTGGGCGAGATGGTGCCCCACCTCTGCAGTGCGGCCTCCAGCGACGGCGGCCAGTTCGTGACCACGCCCAGCTGCTCTCCGCGCATGGCCAGCATCTGGGCCCCCTCCGGCTTTGGTTGGTTCGGATCCGGTTGTTGAACTAAATCGTTTGAATACAAGAGGTTACAAGAGAAATGCATCCACATTAGCATGGCTACTTTTTATTCTTTATAAAGAAGCCAAGAGATTTATACTTAAGCTGTACATTTATTAGCTGACAGAAAAGCATGCTTTTCTAGAATTGGGGTCTATACACTAGCATCACGGATGCTGGTAAAAAATTAGTTCTTGTAATTTCCAAGGCAGCATGTGGGTAGAGCGCTTAGGTGGACCTGCACACAGCTGCAAACTGATAACAGGTGGAAACTGCGCTGCACACTGTGCCCAGAGGCTGGAATTCAAACAGCCATGCTGAAATTTCCATTACCAACATCAGCTAGTGATTTTGGACCCCAAATTGCTTAAATCTTGCTAAATTATATTTTGTCCTGAAAGATTAATGATAAATATATTTTCTGAGGCAGGGTCTCTCTCTTTTGCCTTGGCTGGAGTGCAGTGGCATGATCACAGTTCCCTGCAGCCTCGACCTCCCAGGCTCAGGTTATCCTCCCACTTCAGCCTCTGCTACAGTCCTAGCCTGTAGCTAGGACTACAGGCATGCACCACCACGCCCAGCTAATTTTAGAGTGTGTATGTATGTGTGTGTGTGTGTGTGTGTGTGTGTGTGTGTACATATATATATATATAATGTGTATATATATAATGTGTATATATATATAAAATGTATATATATTTTGTAGAGACAGGTTTGGGCAATATATATATACACACACATATATATTTGTGTGTGTGTGTGTGTGTGTGTGTGTGTGTGTGTGTGTATATATATATATATATTTTTTTTTTTTTTTGGTAGAGACAGGGTTTTGCCATATTGCCCAGGCTGGTCTCGAACTCCCAGGCTCAAGTGATCTGCCTACTTTGACCTCCAACAGTGCTGGAATTATAGGCATGAGCCACCGCACCTGGCCTGAGCTGTACATTTAAATCTGCTACAAGTACTCTGAATAACAGGAACACGGAGTGAGTATTTTCCTGAGTAAAACTAAAATCAGTGCATCATAAATACCACCTGCCCAATCCTTGAGAGAGGTGAAGAATGGAAATTATCTCTTCCATTTCTGGAACAGACTTGTCTGTCACTTTATGACTGACAAAATCAGTCGTTTCTACTTGTGGTTTAACACATAAGATACTAAGGAGCTCAAGTTTGCTACAATGAGCAGTTCTTGTGCTTTATTTCAACTTTAAGTTGTTTGTCTAAAAAGACCCAGGAGCATTCAGGGGCAAAGGCAGCAGCTCCGGCACCTATAAGGAGAGGCAGCAGGAGGAGGGAGGAGACAGCACTTCACACGCCAGTTTTGCTGCCAGCGAAGGATTTCCCCAGTTTACTTGTTTTTCTACATGTTTATACTTTACTTGTATTTCTATACTCTTACAGAGTTCTTAGAGAGAGACCTGACCTGGGTCACAGAACAAAATCAACTCCCACAGAGGACGACTAACAACCAGGTTTAGAGACCTGCCGACACCAAGGCTGCCTGGGAACATCACCCGCTCCCTACCTGGGTTCCCATCATGCGGCAAATGCCACGATTACTGCTCTTAAAAAGTAAAATAGCCTTGCAGAAAAAAATATCATTGTTTACGGGACCATAGGAGCATCTGGAAGAAACGTGTGGTAAAGAGTTCTCTCACCTTCTAATAATTCTTCAAAGTCATCGACAAAGAATTCTCGTAAAGGTGGTCGTTTCGGTCGTTTGAGGGTATTGACAAGCTGCTGGATTTTTGCTGACACCCGGCTACTTACTGGTACTCCTGAAAAACAGGAATCAGCGGGTGGGGAAAGCGATCATCACAGCTTCAATGAGCACCCACAGTCCCACAGTCCCACAGCCCCCTCCCCAGCGCGGCTACAACAGGCTGCATCCTAGATGCGATCCTGGGAAGGGCCCGAGGTGATCATGCTGTACGGTAGCCCCGTGGCTAGGCAGGAGACCGGACAGAGATACATCGGACCCGAATGTCTACCACGTTCCAGGATGTGCTGTTCTGCTGGTCATGCTGGGAGGAGCCTCAGGGCCACACCTGCTTGACCCCAGCTCTGATTCTCAGGACAGAATTGTCACCTGCAGAGGGCAGACTCCTCATTCCCACTGCCCCAGGCCCCCTCTTCTCAACAGGGTGAGACCATCCGTGGAGCAGTAAGTCCTTCCCTGCGTCTATCTCTCCAGAGACCACCAGCATTCAGCCTCACACCAGCATTCAGCCTCATGGAGGCACGAGAACATCGGGCCGCTGAGTCACGTCTGGAACCCCCAGCATCCCACAGCCCCGGGCTCAGGTTTCAGCACCACCACGCCCAAGCCCTGTCCACTCCTAATAAAGACTGAGCTCCTCACACGCGTTCCAAACCCACGCAGCTCAGCCCACACACAGGCAATGCATCCTAAAGCACAGAAGTTAAAGTCTCTAAATTCAAATTTTTGTGTAACAGAATACTAGCCCCTACCTATCCAAGTGGACCGAGAAAAGCCCCATTTTAAAATACTGTGCTAATTATAATGAATGCTGCACCATTCTGAAAATCAACTGGTTTGATCAATGAAAGAGTCAAGGTTTTCAAATTTTAAGATAAATAAATCAAATGAACAAGACAGAGGACCAAGACGCTGATGCCACAACTAGATCAAAAGCGTCCTCCTCAGGCACACGCTGCAGGCCGGCAGGACCTGGGAAACCATCACCCAGAGCTGTGGGCTTGGACGGTGCAGGGGTCTCTGTAGGTGCAGCTGGCAGTCCATTCCCCTCACCTGAGGCAGAGCCCTTGTTCGCCCCCGCACTGGACCATAAAAAACAGACTTCAACATTTGCGGGGAATAGAACAGAATTCAAGGAAATTTTTTCTATCAAGATTTTTTAATAGGTAGTCTCAAAATGCTCTATAGCACTTTAAGAATTGAGACATTAAATATTTCATATCTCTGAAAATACAGAAAAACACACAATCCAGAACTCTCAATATCCACACATAGTATGTTCCCATTAAATAGCCCAACTAATTTGGTTCAGATGAATCATACCATTCCACCAGGCCAACGATTCTCAAGCTTAATTTGGCAGATGTCAGAATTGCCTCAGGGACCCCCGAACTTCTAGCTCATGACGTCTGGGGTGTGACCCAGAATCACCCTCCCAGCAAGGGCCCCTGTGGGATTCTGGTGTGGGAGGCTATGACACGCCGAGACAGCACAACACACCACGCAGGATTTACCTGGGGAACAAAGGCAAAGGTACAGACTTGAAAGACGACAAAGTTACTAAAATGACAAGAATAACAAAAATGGCCAATTTAGTAAAGACGAACTCATCAGAGAACTAAAGCAAATAATGACACCAAAAGGCATTCCAGGAAAAGTCATCGCACTGGCAATCAGGGCGATTTCAAGCGCACTAACTGGACACTTACGAAGGCACAGTTGGGCTCTGCCTCACGTGAGGATGTGGCAGTGCGCCTGTTGGAGCTAGGATAGGCATCCCTGTCTGCCTGCGCCTGTCAGGGCTCGGATAGGCCTCCCTGTCCACCTGTTCCTGTCAGGGCTCGGATAGGCCTCCCTGTCCGCCTGTGCCTGTCGGCTCAAATAGGCCTCCCTGTCTGCCTGCGCCTGTCAGGGCTCGGATAGGCATCCCTGTCCACCTGCACCTGTCAGGGCTCGGATAGGCCTCCCTGTCCACCTGTTCCTGTCAGGGCGCGGACAGGCCTCCCTGTCCACCTGCACCTGTCAGAGCTCGGACAGGCCTCCCTGTCCACCTGCACCTGTCAGGGCTCGGATAGGCCTCCCTGTCCACCTGTTCCTGTCAGGGCTTCGATAGGCCTCCCTGTCCACCTGCACCTGTCAGGGCTCGGATAGGCCTCCCTGTCCACCTGCACCTGTCAGGGCGCGGACAGGCCTCCCTGTCCACCTGTTCCTGTCAGGGCTTCGATAGGCCTCCCTGTTCACTGCACCTGTCAGGCCTCAGATAGGCATCCCCGTCCACCTGTCGGAGCTCGGATAGGCCTCCCTGTCCACCTGCACCTGTCAGAGCTCGGACAGGCCTCCCTGTCCACCTGCACCTGTCAGGGCGCGGACAGGCCTCCCTGTCCACCTGTTCCTGTCAGGGCTTCGATAGGCCTCCCTGTTCACTGCACCTGTCAGGCCTCAGATAGGCATCCCCGTCCACCTGTCGGAGCTCGGATAGGCCTCCCTGTCCACTGTGCCTGTCGGGGCTCTGATAGGCCTCCCTGTCCGCCTGTGAGTCCCGTGCACCGCAAGATGACAGCATACCAAGGCTGCTCCATGCAGCTTCACACAAGGGCATTGTATTTCACCGCTAGGTTCTACCCTGACTTTTATGACCTCGGGAAGGACTGAGACCTAAATGGAATAGGGGCTGAGTGACACGAACAGCCGCTGTAGTCAGAATATACCAAGACTGGGCCACAAAGAAGGAAGGAAGAAGCCCTCGGCCACAGCCTGTTACCAAGTCACCGATATCTCTGTCCAACGTGGATAAAAAGACCCTCTTTCCTCCAAAGTCTAAAGCAACATATCAGCCCATCTGACAGTAATTCTGTTGTACATTTAACTTCATCTTGCTCTTCTAAGTGACTGTTCATGGTCTTAACACACCTGTACAAGAATTTCTCAGTTGCTGAACCACCGTTATTCAGCAGCAAAAACGGCAGCAAATTCTAAAATTTCTTTTTCTTCTCATGACTAAATTCCTACAACATTTACATTTTTCCTACAAGGAATAACTGTGGGCTCACTTGGAGAATATTTGCATTTTTGTGGCTAGGCCACCTTCCATGAGAGGCTCCCGAAGATCTGATAAATTGGCTTTGTCAGAACCGATTGTACCCCAGGAAGAAACACATCCAGTCATGGGCACGGAACGGGACGTCAGCACAAACCGTTTACCAGAAAAAAACGCATCTCTCCTTTGGGACGTACCATCCCCGGTCTCCATGAGCTCGGCGTTGCCGTACTTGGGCGCTGTCCGGGACCCCGTGGAACCCTGCGGTCTCTCCACCTGTATCGAGTGCTCTGAGGTGTACGTGGTTACGTCAGGAGGTGCAGAATGATTTTCTGTAAAGAAACACATCATGAGATTTTCTGGTGGTTGTGATGTTTGCTCTGAAGGTGGAACAAGCCACAGCCCAGGAAGAGACTGAAGCACAGGTGCTCACCCTGGGTGTGCCATGGAAAGCCAGAGCCGATCTCAGCCGCATCTGCCACACACATCCAGCACAAAGGGGGACCCCAGCATAACTCATGTTGCCGCAAATGGAGCAGAGTTCGGTAAAACCTCAGACGTAATTTCCTAACGGGAGCCATGTCAGCAGCATTTTAACTAGAATAACGTTAGACTGGCAATGGCAGGGCGTCAGGAACCCTGTGTGTGTTCACGGAGGGGTCCTGTTTCCTGTCTGCCACAGTCGACGCAGCCAAAGGCCTGGAATTGGAAACCCGGCTCTGGAAACTTCTGGGGATTTTGGGATGTCCCTTAAGCTCTCCGTGCCTCAGTTTCTTCGTCAAATGGGAACAGTAATGGCCATGACCGTGTAGGGTAGTTGGGTGGATTATGTGAGTTAACACGTATACAGTTCATAGGATCTTCTTCATAAAAGGGGGAGACATCAAGAACTATTATTTTATTATTTCTCTTAGTACAAACAACAACAGTCATTCAAAAAACCACGTTACACCCTAATGTGTACTAAGGATCGTGTAAGGCCAATGAGCGCGTGGAGCTCTTTCTCTTACAGCACCCCCTGGAGATAAAGTTAAGCCGTACGTGGCTGAATGGGGAAAAGCATGCTTTTCTATTTAATGAATAACGCATTGAGGAAGATGTGCCAAGCAGCCCACTGATGACGCCCGTCACACCCAGAATCTTGATGACGGGCGCCACGATGCGGATCGCGATCCTGAATCCTCCTCTGATGGAAGCTTTTCAGGATCACCCCGCCACTGTCCCACGCAACAGAAGGGCGGTACTTTGTGTCGCTGAAAGTGGGGCTCATCCCCAAAAGCCTCTCTTCACCGGACGCTGCCCATGTCCGCACCGTGCCCGGAGGCCGTCTAGACGGCGAAATCAACTGAACGCACAAAAACAGGACACAGAAGATCGAGGCACAGAAGAGGCCGTGACAGGACGCTGCTTTGTGATCTGAGAATCGGGCCGGGTGGGCGGTGCCGAGCTGCCTGGACACGGCGTCGGCCCCTCCTGACGGTGTCAGTCCGGTGTCACAAGTAGATTCGGCAATGCCGTTCACTGGGAACCCGTGACTGAAAAGACAAGAACTAAGGGGAGGGCCCGCCACACCGCCCGTCAGTGCCACGACATTCCACCTGGAGGCAGGCAGGCCCGACTTCCTGCAGAACCAACACACACCCCCTCAAGTCCTCAGCGGACTTGGATGGTAGCGTCTGGGAGGCCTCCTCTCAGCTCCGAGGTGTGAAAACGCTGGACACAGCTTGTAGATGGACAGCGGGTAGAGCAGTGGAAAAAGAAAACTAGAATGGGATTTCCTATCTTATGCCAAATTGGCTTGACTCTTAAGATACATGTGAGATGTCCCTACTTAATTGCCGGCATAATTAAATTGGTGGAAAAAATCCACAAAGGACTTGAGATTTTGCTTCAACAGCAAGTAGAAGCGTGGCCAGCTCTGAGAGACTCCGTGACCTGAGTCTGCAGCCCTGGGCTTTTCTCCCCTCGGACACAAGCAGCCTCTGCAGCCTCCACTTCTGTCCCTTGCCGGAGGGATCGGCCAGTGTGACTCAGCCATCTGTTGTGCTTGGACTCCTTAGGACACTCACGCGCACGCAGACGCACGATCACACACGCTACTTTCCTGTTTGTAGGCTTCTGATTATCTCACAAGGTCAAGTGCAAATCTGACTTTTTACTTCTTTTGTTTTGCCACAGAAAATATTTTTCCTTTTCTGATTAAGTTTCATTATTTTGCCACTGCTTTTTTTCCAAAAAAATTTCAAAGTTACAGAAAATTTCCAGATAGTCTAGGAAGATTATCTTTGTGCCTAATTAGAAATTACCGGAATGTGGTCACCCGAGAGTTACATTTGGGTCACACTGAGCCTTGATGTACATGAGTTATGAGCCCCTCATAGTTTGGATACATTCTTTGTACTAAAACTTCCTCCAGTACTGCAAGGGTAAACCCGCAAAGGGAGGCCAAGTGCCGTGATTCACTTGTTCAAAAATATGTGTTTTCCTTGGTAAGATTCTGCCCATTTCCTTAAAATTGAATAAAATCCGAGGATACAAATGCTTCCCCCAAGTGGCAGAGATGGTGTTTGGCCTCCCCGTTCAGGTGCCCGATAAAGCTGGCAGAGCCTCAGCCACTATCCTGGGATCCAATATACACATGGAATTTTATTACAAAAAAAAATAACAGTCACACATTCCTGTTCATTGTTTAACGTACTGTGATTTCAAGTACAGGTTATTAATTCACATAAACCAGTGTACATGTTCCTGAAACTGTGTTAAACTGAAGTTTAATACTGCTTTGCATTTGAGTATTACTTTACAAACTTTTACAGAGTATTTCTATTTTCTCCTTTATACTCACAACAGTTCTGAGAGAGAAAAAAGAAATGGTTTTTTTCATTTTTTTCCTCACCAAAAGCCTAAAAGCAGGAGAACTGACTTCAAGATCCCAGCAGCAGTTATTGGGAAAAGTGAGACAGACCCAGCTCTCCTGCCAGCAAACTCCTGTTCCAGACAGAAAACGGCCGACGCTTTAAGTCTCAGTGAGCGACCAAGGGGCTGAGACCCAAGTCAATCCAAAACGCCTCTGAGCGTAAAGGAGTCAGTGATCTAGAAGTGAACATTCTGGGGTTCTGGGGTGTCTGTGGGCTATTTAATCACAATGACGTGCACCTGCTTCCCACTGATGATTTTTTCAGGGATCAGGTTTTCCTGCGGCAGCTGAGATACCGGGAGGGTCTGAGCCCGTGGCTCGAGCTCCGTTATCGGCGACGTGGTAAGCAGTCGTCTCCGGTTACTGCTTTAATGGAGACACACACAAAACCCTATTCAACCCAAGTCCCGTACTTGATGAAAAACATTTACTACTGAACCGTTCAAAGGCAGAGCGACGTGAGGCCCATCACCGCTCCCCACGTGCCAGCTCTTCCTCTAATAATTCTCACTTTACTCCTTTTCCACAGCATGTTCAAACGTCATAGGGCAGTGATCCTAACTTTGTGCTTTTTCTCATACAGAGTATCTCCCTGTCATAGAACCTACACAAAGCAGTGTGCCGGCCCCCAAGAAGTCTGAACACCTGTGGCAGACAGCAGCGTCAAGCAGCTGTGGTTAAAGCCCTCGTTTCCTTAAATGACTCCCACGGTCAGGACGAGCACATTTAAAACCCTGTCCTGTTGATTGGGACTGTTAAGGTTTCATGTAGGAGCATAAGTGAGAAGAAAAGATGGGAGCGGATACGGCTGCAGGATTCCCCAGGAACAAGGCCCCTGGAATTGCAGCTGTGGGAGGGACCTGGGCATGAGAAGTGTAAAGCAGCTTCCAGAAACAATCCAGCCAAAGCACCCCAGGGGCCAGAGGAGCTCTGTGCTCTTTCCACCGAGGGATTCCGCTGCAACGATGCAAACAGAGAATGTGCACACACAAAGGCGTTTACACAACAGGCACAGAAAGACACCGTGAAGCGTGCTCACCTATGTGGGTCTGAGCCATGACGTCCGCCAGCCTGTGGGCAGCCCCGCTGCCCCCGCTCTGCGTAGAGGACGAGGAGGTGGTGGACGTGGTGGAGCCGTGGATGGCCTGGCTGATCCAGTGCTCCATATTGATGCTGCCCTGGCTGGAGGTGGGGGTGCCCTGGGAGTCCCCCTGCACTGAGCCTTCATCTTCTGAGCCAGAAGAGGTATCTGTGTAAGAAGAAAGGTGATTTGCTGTATGTTGCAGCAAAAACGTGCACCACAATCTCAGTCCCTCGCCAAACACAGATTTACTTCACGTAAGTCTCAATAGTTGTTCAATGACTTTTTGATACACTCTTGAGAAGTTAAACCACGTTTCAGATAATAAACCATTTATTTTAGCATAATGAGTTTTTCATCCAACACACCTTATATAAACATGCTATAAGATGTTTGACACTGTCATCTCAGACAAATACACACTGACCCATTTCCTCTACACAGCAGTTTGGGAAGAAACCAAGTGTTTGCTTGTGTCACCCACAAAGTGAGAGAACAAGGGCCGCGTTTCCTAGGGGATGCTGAGGGCCTGTGCGGCTCTCAGGAGTCTCAGTGTGACGTATGTTTAGCCCTTGTTAGTCCTGAGATGTTCTTGTGGGCTCTGATTTTTCTACTACATCGGTGTGTTAGATACCCATGCAGCTGATTTCTATGTCGGTGTGTGTGTTAGACACCCATGCAGCTGATTTATTTCTATGTCAGTGTGTTAGATAACCATGCAGCTGATTTATTTCTACATCAGTGTGTTAGATACCCATGCAGCTGATTTATTTCTACATTGGTGTGTTAGATACCGATGCACCTGATTTGTGCGTTGGTGTGTTAGATAACCATGCAGCTGATTTATTTCTACGTCGGTGTGTGTGTGTTAGATACCCATACAGTTCCTTAAGGATCAAGACACTGATGATGGTAACAGGAGAGAAAGCAGAACGTGCCTCACGCGGAGCAGCCCCTCCACCTCCCCGTTTTCCTCCGGGGCACACGACAAACCTTCATCACGTCACATTTTACACTCAAATCAATTCACCTTTACAGTATTTGTTTCTTATACATTCTCATTATTGATTTTTCTATCTGTGCAGATTGGATATCTTGGATTATAACAAAATACATCAATTTTTTCACTATAATTTATGAGAATATTTTTCATTTAATAACTTTTCATGCAGTACCAAGGTTTTTGGGAATAAATTGTTGGTGTATTTGTTATTTAAACTTCAATTTAAGAATGACACTCAGAATCCTACCTCCAGGTGAGTTATGAGAGACGCCAGCTCAGGTGAGCAGCTCCAGCCATCGGGTGAGAGGAGAAGTCACGGCAAATAATCTTAAGACACGGGTTTGTTTTTTAAAAGATAATAATTGCAAACAATATACACACTTATTATCACTGTCACATGACTTATGCTGTCTGGGAATTTTTTTAAAAGTTTACTTGTTAGAAAAGCAACAATGTTAAGAGCCTGAAAATTCTCTATCACCTTGGGTTTTTTTTTTTTTTTTTTTTTTTTTTTTGAGACAGAGTCTTCCTCTGTTGCCCAGGCTGGAGAGCAGTGGCGCGATCTCAGCTCACAATAACCTCTCACTCCCTGGTTCAAGAGATTCTCCTGCCTCAGCCTCCCAGGTAGCTGAGATTACAGGCACCTACCACTATGACCGGCTAATTTTTGTATTTTTAGTAGAGATGGGGTTTCACCATGCTGGCCAGGCTGGTCTCGAACTCCTGACCTCGTGATTTACCTGCCTCAGCCTCCCAAAGTGCTGAGATTACAGGCCTGAGCCACCGCTCCTGGCCCACTCTGCCTTTTAAGAAAACTTACACAATTTCTATAAAAGTAAAATTGACACAGCCTTGAGACTTTTGAGAAAGGTACACACCCAGGTGTCCAGAAGGAGCACAACCATCTCCCCAGAATGTCTTCTCACAACTCTTTACAATCTTTCATTCCCCACTCCCACCTACCTCTTCCAAGAAACCTGAAGGATAATATGATATAGACACTCAACATAATAGCAGCAAACCAAACAAACAGCATATGACACGGATGATACAGCATAACCAACGGTGACTAATATGACACAGATGATACAGCATGACCAGCAGTGACTAATACGACACGGATGATACAGCATGACCAGCGGTGACTAATACGACACGGATGATACAGCATGACCAGCGGTGACTAATATGACACGGATGATACAGCATGACCAGCGGTGACTAATATGACACGGATGATACAGCATGACCAGCAGTGACTAATATGACACGGATGATACAGCATGACCAGCAGTGACTAATATGACACGGATGATACAGCATGACCAGCGGTGACTAATATGACACGGATGATACAGCATGACCAGCGGTGACTAATATGACACGGATGATACAGCATGACCAGCGGTGACTAATATGACACGGATGATACAGCATGACCAGCGGTGACTAATGTGACACGGATGATACAGCATGACCAGCGGTGACTAATATGACACGGATGATACGGCATGACCAGCGGTGACTAATATGACACGGATGATACGGCATGACCAGCAGTGACTAATATGACACGGATGATACAGCATGACCAGTGGTGACTAATGTGAAATGGATACAGCATGACCAGCGGTGACTAATATGACACAGATGATACAGCATGACCAGTGGTGACTAATATGACACGGATGATACAGCATGACCAGCAGTGACTAATATGAAATGGATGCAGCATGACCAGCGGTGACTAATATGACATGGATGATACAGCATGACCAGTGGTGACTAATATGACACGGATGATACAGCATGACCAGCGGTGACTAGAAGTAAATACCAGAGCGACAGGAATTCAGGTTAACATTCAAAAGTGAATTAATGTCATACACCATATAGAATTATGGGAGTAGAACCGCATGTTAACCTTAGGAGACATAGAAAAGTACTGACAAACTCAAGATAAACTCAACAAAATCAGGAATAGAAGGCAATTTCCTCAACCTGTTAAAGCACATTCATGAAAAGCCATGGCTAATAGTGTATTTAATGGTAAACAATAGAAGGCGTTTTCCCTAAGATGGAGAACAAGACAAAGATGTCCCCTCTTGCCACTTTTATTTGACATTATCTGGCAGGTTCTAGCTAGTGAAATAAATTAACAAATTTAATAATAAAGACATCCAGATTAGAAAAGAAGGAATAAAAGTGCCTTTATTCATAGATGACATGACCTTGGATGTAGAAAACGGCAAGAAGTCCATCAAAAATGTTTTGCATTACTAAAAAATGAGTTTGATGAGGTCACAGGACACAAGATATACATATACTAGCAATAAACAACCTGAGAATAAAGTTAAGAAAATAGTTCCATTCACAGTAACATCAAAAACATAAAACACTCAGCCAAACTTCTAACAAAAAGGTACAAAATGTGTACACTGACAACTATAAAACATTACTGAAATTAAAGGAGATCCAAATAAATGGAAACTAAATAAATGGAGATAGATTCATGATTGTGAATTGGAAAACTCAGTATTATCAAGAGAGCAATTCTTCCCAAACTGTTCCATTAATTCAAGGCACTGCCTAATAAAATCCCAGAAGGCTTTGTGTGTGTGAAATTGAAAGCTTATTCTCAATTTTATCTGGAAATACAAAGGACCTACAATAGCCAAAATAATTTTGAAAAAGGAAAACAAAGTTGGAGGACTTCACTATCTGATTTCAAAACTTTACATAAAGTCACAGTAATTAAGGCAGTAGTATTAGCAGAAGAATAGATGTATACATCAAAGGAACAGAATTAAACCCAGAAATAAAGTCTTATATTTACGGTCAATTTATTTTTGACAAACGTCTCAAGACAATTCAGTAAGAGAAAGGTAGTATTTTTTTCAACAAATGTTGCTGTGGCAACTGGGTACCCAACACACCAAAAAGAAAAAGCATGGGGGAAAAAATCCCCCAAACCAAACCACAACAAACAAACAAAAATCCCACTTAGATCCCTACTGCACAGATAAAAATTAACTCAAAATGGATCACAGACCTAAATGAAAGAACAGTAAGACTATGAGACTTCTAAAACTTCCAAAAAATCCATAAAAATTAGTAAACTGGACTTCATTAAAATAGAAAACTACTAAGTTTTAAAAGATGATTATCTGCCTCTAGCTAATGTAATAAATTACCTTGATCTTCGTGGCTTATAACAACACACGTATCTATTATCCTACAGATGGAGAAGTCAGAAGTGTAAAATCTGAGTGTCAGCAGAGCTACGTTCCTTCTGGAGGCTTCAAAGGAGAATCCATTTCTTGGTCTTTCCCAACCTCTAGAGGCCACCTGTGTCCCTGACTTATGGCCCCTCCTCATCTTTAAAGTCCATCACTCCAGTCTCCAATTCTTCCTTTTCTCTTGTAAGGACGTTCTTGATTACAGTGGGTCCACCTGCTTAAACCAGGATAGTGGTCCCATATCAAGATCTCTATATTAATCATAGCTGCAAAATCCCTTTTACCACTTAAGGTAACAGGTTCAAAAGCTCTGGGGAGTAGGACCTGGGTATCTTGGGGGAGGGTCATTATTCTGTCTGCTACAGAACAGTTTGTCCTTTCACTGAGAAACCTTACACCTGTAAAAGTCGTTCAGATCGTATAAGGCACCTATAACCCATAAGATGACAACCAACCCATTTTAAAACATGGGCAAAAAATCTGGACATTTTACCAATTAACATATACAAATAGCTATGAATAGGAATTAGCACATTAAAAGCTAATAAGCACATTAAAAGATGCTTAGCATCATTAACTGTTACAAAGTAAATACACAATGATATACCATTTCACATCAATTAGAATGGCAAAAATAAAAATACCAAAATACCAACTGCTTCTCATGATGTGGAGAAACTGGGATGCTCATATACTGCTGGTGGCAGTATGTAAAATGGTACAGCTATTTTGTAAACAATTTGGCAGTTTTTAAAAAGCTAAACCTAAACTTACAATAAGAGTCAATCATTCTACTTGGCATCCTCCCAAGATAAAGGAAATTATACGTATACACAAAGATATGTACATAAACGTCGACAGCAGCATTATTCATAATTGCCGAATAGAGGAAAGAATGAATAACCAACTGGTAAATGAATAAACAGCATGTGTTAGATCCATCTAACAGAATATAATTCAACAATAAGAAGGAATAAACTACTGATGCATGGTACAGCACGGACTTCAAAACAGGTGAAGGTGTAGAGAAGCGTGGACATTTTATGATTTTATATCATAAAATTCTAAGATCATAAAAAACTAAAAACCATAAAATCATAAAGTGTTCTATGATTTTATATTCCAGAAAATTTGATTTCTAGGGTCCTTTCTTTTTCATAGAGCTAACCTTTCATCTGATAGCATTTGCAATCAGCCTAAAGTACATTCTTTAGCATGTTTATAGTGTAGTTCTGCTGATAACATATTCTCTCAGCTTTCATGTGTGTGAATGTGTCGTTTCATCCGTGTTTATAAAGGAGATTTTCACCGGATATGAGTTGACAGCCCTTTCTTCTCCTTTTAGTACTTTAAAAAATGTCTTTCCATGGTCTTCTGGTCTCCATTGTATCTTCACAGAAGTCATGCATTGTTCAAATGCTTCTCTGGAGTGTAACGTGTCTTTTTCTTCGGAGTCCTTTCAGGATCTCCTCTTAATCCTGCACTTTGACTATCATGAACCTGGATGTGATTCTTTTTATACTTGTTCTGCTTGGAGTTCACTGAACTTCTCGGGGCTGGACACAGGTGTTTGACATCAATCTGAGTAAATTTTGACTCATTTCTTCAAAGGCTCCTGCTCTTTTCTCTTTTCCTTCTTATATTACAAGGATATTAACATTGTGTCACAGGAGCTTGAGGTTCTGTTCGCATTTAATTTTGGTTTCTCTGGTCTTCACTTTGGTTAATTTCTTTTCATCCCTCTTCAAGCTCACAGACTTCATCTTCCTTCTCCAACCTGTTAAACCCACCAGCAAAATTTCTTCTATCATATTTTCCAGCTTTATAGTGATGTCTCACTTATCCTTTCCAACTCCACATGTGCACAGCGTCCCCTATCATCAACATTGCCTACCAGAGTGGTATACTTGTCACAACTGATGCTTCTACACTGAAACATCATTATCACCCAAACTCCATCGTTCACATCAGGGTTCATTCTTGGTGTCGTACAATATATGGGTCTGGACAAATGTATAACATGTATCCACCATCACAGTATCATACAGAGATCACATGCTACTAAAAAATCCTCCTGCTTTGCCTATTCATCCCTGCCTCCCCCCGGACCCTGGCTGCCTCCCCCCCGGACCCTGGCTGCCTCCCCCCCGGACCCTGGCTGCCTCCCCCCCGGACCCTGGCTGCCTCCCCCCCGGACCCTGGCTGCCTCCCCCCCGGACCCTGGCTGCCTCACCCCCGGACCCTGGCTGCCTCCCCCCCGGACCCTGGCTGCCTCCCCCCCGGACCCTGGCTGCCTCCCCCCCCGGACCCTGGCTGCCTCCCCCCGGACCCTGGCTGCCTCCCCCCGGACCCTGGCTGCCTCCCCCCGGACCCTGGCTGCCTCCCCCCGGACCCTGGCTGCCTCCCCCCGGACCCTGGCTGCCTCCCCCACAGACCCTGGCTGCCTCCCCCTGGACCCTGGCAACCACTGATCTTTTTACTGTCTCCATAGTCTTGCCTTTCCCAGGACGTCACATAGCTAAAATCATACAGCAACCTTTTCAGATTGCATATTGCTAAGTGAAAGAAGTCAATTTAAGTTTCCTCCATGTCTTTCTATGGAGAGCTCATTTATTTTCAGCATCCAATAATATCCCATTGTCTGTATGTACCACAGTTTACTTATACATTCACCTACTGAGGGGCATTTTGGTTGCTTCCAAGTTTTGGCAATTATGAATAAGGCTGCTCTAAATATCTATGTGTAGGCTTTGTATGTAGACGTAAGTTTTCAACTCCTTTGAGCAAATGCCAAGGAGTGTAATTCCTAGATCATATGGTAAAGAGTATATTTAGTTTTGTAAGAAACCACCAAGCTGTCTTCCTAAAGGCTGTTCTATTTTGCTTTAAGACCAGCAATGAATGAGAGAGAATTCCCGCAGCTCCACATCTTCATAGGCTGTGGTGTTGCTAGCATTCTGGATTCTGGGCATTCTAATAGGTGTATAGTGGTGTCTTACTGTTGTTTCAATCTGCATTTCTCTATGACATATGATGTGAAGCGTCATTTCATATGTCGATTTGCCATCTTTATATCTTCTTAGATGAGCCATCTGTTAGTCTTTGACCCATTTTTTACTTATTCATTTTTTAAAGACAGGATCTCAAAATGTTGCCGAGTCTGGAGCACAATTCCAAGGCGCAATCCCACTACTGATCAGCTTAGGAATTCTGACCTCCTCCATTTCCAACCTAAGCTAGTTCACCCCTCCCAGGAGGTCGCTGGGTTGACGCCGAACTTAGTGTCGACACCTGAGAGGCATAACTCACAACAACCCGGAGCTCCTGGACTCAAGTGATCCTCCCGCCTTAGCCTCCTGAGTAGCTGAGACTACAGGCACATGCCATCACACTTGGCTGGCCCCTATTTTAATCAGATTGATTGTTTTGTTATTGTTGACTTTTAAGAGTTCCTTGTATATTTCAAATAAAAGTTATCATTTATGTCTTTTGCAAACATCCTCTCCCTGTCTGTGGCTTGTATTTTAATTACTTTAAGAGTCTTTGACATAGCAGAACATGTTCATTTTTATTGGAGTCCAGCTTATCAATTATTTCACACCTTGCACCTTTGGTGTCATATCTAAAAACTTATCACCAAATCAAAGTCACTAGATTTTTACCTTATCTTCTAAGAATTCTATAGTTTTGTATTTTACATCTGTCATCTATTTTGACAGGCAGGAATATTTCACCACTATACTAATGAGGACAGTGGCTCTGTGATCTGTTTAATTTTTTTGAAAGATGTAAGGTCTGTGACTAGGTTTGGTGTTTTTCTTTGCATATGGATGTCCAGTTGTTCCAGTACCATCTGTTAAAAATATTGTGTTTGCTGCACTGTATTGCCTTTGTTCCTCTGTCAAAGTTTAGTTGACTATATTTTCTTACTGGGCTCTCTATTCTGTCCCATTGATCCTTTTGTTTGTTCTTTCACCAATACCACACTGTCTGGATTATCACTGATTTATAGTAAGTCTTGAAGTTGCATAGTGTCAGTCTTCAACTTTGTTCTTCTTTTTCAATATTGAAGTGGCTGTTCTGAGTCTTTCATCTCTCCAAATAAACTTTTGAATCAGTGTGTTGATATTGAAAAAAAAACTCGTTCGGATGTTGGTTGGGACTGCATTGGAAGGAAAACATCTTGACAATATTCAGTTTTCCTATCCATGAACGTGGACTACCTGTCCATTTAGTTTTTCTGTGAATGAGTTTTGTAGTTTTCCTCATAAGATCTTGAACATATTTTGTTAGATTTTATGCCTGAGTATTCCATTTTGGGGAGTGCTACTGGAAATTTTTTTTTAAATTATTATTTTTAGTACAGATGGGGTTTTGCCATGTTGGCCAGGCTGGTCTCGAACTCCTGACCTCAAGTGTTCTGCCTGCCTTGGCCTCCCAAATTGCTGGAATTATGGACATGAGCCACTTTTTTATTTCAAATTCTACTTGTTCTTTGCTGGTAAACAGGAAATTCGTTCAACTTTTGTATATTAAACTCAATTCTTTTGGATCTTCTACATAGGCAAACATGCCATCTATGAACAAAGTTTTATTTCTCTTCCCAATGAATATGTATTTATTTTTCTTGTCATAATTGCATTAGCTAGGACTTCTAGTACAATGTTGAAAAGAAGTGGTGAGAGGAGACATCCTTGTTTTTCCTGATCCCCTTTCCGGATCTTAGTGGGAAAAATTCTAGTTTCTCACAATTGGGTATGATGTTAACAATAGGTTTTTTGTCCATATTCTTTATCAAGTTGAGGAAGGTGACCTCTGTTCCTAGTTTGCTGGGAGCTTTTATTATGAGTGTTAGATTTTGTCAAATTCTTTTCCTTTTTCTTAGCCTGTTAACGTGATGAATTACGTTAATTGGTTTTCAAATGTTAAAGCAGCTTTGGATGCGTGAAACAAATTCCACTTGGTTTTGGTGCACAATTTTTTTTTTTTACACTGTTGGATTTAATTTGCTAATATTTTGTTGAAGGTTATTGCATCTGTGTTCATGAGAGATGTTTTCTTGTAATATTTTGTTCCAGTTTTGGTATTAAAATGATGCTTAGAATGAGTTAAGAAGTATTCCTCAGCTTTTATGTTCTGAAAGAGATTGTAGAGAATTGGCATAATTTCTTTTAGATGTTTGGTAGAATTCACCAATGAACCCAACTGGGCCTGGCACTTCCTGTTTTGAAAGGTTATCAACTACTGATTCAATTTAACAGATACAGGCCTATACAGATTGTTTCCTCCTGTTCAAATTTTGGCAGATTCTGTCTTTAAAGAAATTGGTCCATTTCATCCACGTTATCAAATTTGTGGCCATAGAGTTTTTCATAATATTTATTATCCTTTTAATGTCCATGGGACCTGTAGTTATGTCCCTTATTTCATTTCTGATATTGGTAATTTATCTGCTGTATTTCTTTTTCTTGTTAAAGGCTTATAGATTTTCTCTCAAAGAACCAGCTGTTGGTTTCGTTGATTTTCTCTACTGATTTTCTGTTTTCAATGTGTTGATTTCTGCTCTTTCATTATTTGTCTCCTGCTTACTTAGAATTTAATTTGCTGTTCTTTTTCTAGTTTTCTAAGGTGGGAGCTTATTGATTTCAGATCTTTTTTAACATATGCATTTAAAGCTATAAATTTCCCTATAAACATTACTTTCATTGCATCTCACAAATTTTAAAAAGTTTTCATTTTCATTTACTTCAAAACTTTAAAGAAATCTTCAGATTTCTTCCTTGAGCAATGCATTATTTTTAAGTGTATTGTTTAATTCCTAATATTTTCCAGTCATCTATTATTTATTTCTACTTCATTGTGGTTGAGAACATACTCGTTTAATTCCTATTCTTTTAAATTTGTTAAGGTGTGTTTTATGGACCAAAACGTGGTATATCATGGTGAATGTTCAGCATTCTGTTGTTGGAGGAAATAGTCTATAAATGTCAATTATATACAGTTGACTGAGGATGTTGTTGATTTCAATTTTGTCCTTACTGATTTTCTGGCTACTGAATTGGTCCATTTCTGATAAAGGGGTGTTAAAGTCTCCAACTATAATACTGGATTATTTCTCCTTGAAGTTTATCAGTTTTTGCTTTGGCATTTTGATGCTTTCTTAGGCAAAAATACATTTAAGGATTGTTTTATCTTCTTGGAGAAAATAATCATCTCTGGTAACTTCCCTTGATGTAAAGCCTGCTCTGTCAAATTAACATCACCACTTCCATTTTTTAAAATTAGTGTTGGCTGGGCAGTGGCTCATGCCTGTAATCCCAGCACTTTAGGAGGCCGAGGCAGGATGATCACCTGAGGTCAGGAGTTCAAGACTGGCTTGGCCAACATAGTGAAACCCCATCTCTACAAAAATAGGAAAAAAAAAATAGCCAGGCATGATGACAAATGCCTGTAGTCCCAGCTACTCGGGAGGCTGAGGCAGGAGAATCACTTGAATCTGGGAGGCGGAGGTTGCACTGAGATAAGATCGGGCTATTGCACTCCAGCCTGGGCCAAGGAGTAAGACTCCATCTCAAAAAAAATAAAATAAATAAATTAGTGTTAACATTTATATCTTTTTCTATCCCTTTACTCTTGATCTATATATATTTCTTTATATCTAAAGTAGATTTCTTATATAGACAATATATAGTTGGGTGCATTTAGACTGACATTGAAAGTGAGTAATGATATACAGTTGAATTAATATCTACCATATTTGTTACTATTTTCTATCTGTTGCCCTTTTGTCTTTTTTTTTCTTTCTTCTTGTGGTCTTAATTGAGCATTTTCTATTTTCTTTCCTTTCTTATCATATCAGTTACTTTTTTTTAAGTGGCTGCCTTGGGATTTGCAATATAAATTCACAAGTAACCCAAGCCCACTTTCAAATGACACTATACTGCTTTCTGGATAATGCAAGCACACTATAAAAACAAAATAATCCTAAATCCTAATTGCTCTCTCCCATCCCTTGTATCACTGCTGTCATTCATTTCACTTACATTTAACTGTGTGTATATGGTATATACATAAGCATATAATCAAATACACTGTCGCTATTATGAATGAACTGTTACATTAAATCTATTAAGAAAAATAAAAGTTTTTCTCCTACCTTCACTGTTCCTTCTTTGATGCTTTTTCTTAACAGTCAAGGTCTTGCTCTGTTGCCCAGGGTGGAGTAGAGTGGCATCATTATAGCTCACCGCAGCCTTGAAAAGGATCCTGGGCTCAAGTGACCCTCCCATCTTGGCCTCTCAAAGTAGCTGGGACTACAGGTGTCAGCCACCATGTTTGGCTTTTTTTAAGAGACAGAGTCTCACTACGTTGCCCAGGCTGGTCTCAAATAACCGGCCTCCAGCAATTCTCCCGCCTTGGCCTCCCAGAGTGTTAGGGTGACAGGTGTGAGCCCCTGTACACAGACTCTGCTCTTCCTTTCTTTATGCACAGCTGAGTTACTGACCTCTACTATTTTCTCTAAAGAACTATGAACACTTTTTGCAAGGCAGGTCTACTGGCAACAAATTTCTCAATTTTTCTCTGAGAAAGTCTTTACTTTTCCTTCACTTTTTGAAAGATAATTTCACAGGGTATAGACTTCTAGGTTAATGGCATTTTTTTCCTCTCAATAGTTTAAATATTTCACTCTACTTCTTGCTTTCGTGGTTTTTGAGGGGAAGTTGAATAGAATTCTTATCTTTGATCCTCTATAGGGAAGGAGATTACTCTGGTTTCTTTGTTGGGGTTTTTAAAAAATCTTTGATTCGCCGTAGTTTGAAAATTATATGCCCAAGTATAGTTTATTTTTGTTTTTGTCGTTGTTGTTTTTACATTTATCCTGCTTCGTGTTTCTGGAGCTTCCTGAATCTATGGTTTGGTGTCTGGCATTAATCTGAGGAAATTCAGCCATTAATGTTAAAAATACTTCTTCTGTTCCTCATTCTTCTCCTTGTATTACCGTTCCGCATAATTTATGCTTTCTGTAGTCGTCCCATAGTGCTTGGATACTCTGTTCTTTTTTGCTTTTTAGTGTTCTCTTTGCTTTTCAGTTCTGGAGGTTGGAGTTGGATATTTCCTTTTCCCCAGGCCGGAAGGCTTTGATAAAACCCCACCAGGTTAGTCTCTAGTTAACTAGCTTCTCTGGAAGGTAGACCTAGTTAAGAGTGCTCCTGCATATTTGAAAATGATTCCTATTCTCCGTCCCCTGTAGTAAGTATGAGGGGATTCTTCCCTGATATTTACTTCGAGAACCTGGTTGAGCTTCTGATGGTACAACTCACAAAATCATGGCCCTGTATGCACAGGCCTCCTGGACGTTTTAACTCTCAGACTTGGCCACAACCTCACTACAGCAATTTGTCAATTCCAGTTCAGGTTTTCCAATCCCAGCGGGGGTTCCTTGGAGCTTTCTGCTCCAGTGTATGGTGATTCTCCACTTCACCTGTCCACCCTATCTGGGGACAGTGGCTTGCCTGTGACCTCATGTCTCTTGCAGGTTTAAGAAGAGCTGCTGAGTTTTCAGTTTGCTCAGCTTTTCACCTGTGAGGAGGCAGTGACAATTCTCAAGATTATCACGTATGGAACCTGAAACTCCCCAACTCCATTGTAATAAAAAGTGTCTTCCCTTCCTCTGGCTCAAGTATTAAAATATTTTCTTTTCGTTCTTTGACACATTTTAATTTGATTCCCGAAATATTTATAATTGTAGATTTAAAAACTCTGTCTTTTGCTGTATCAGACATCTAGACTGGCACCTTCCAACAGAATTATGAGAATCCTATATAGAACTTTAAACCTACTTTGTAGCCTCATATATATATATAAATATATAAACAGGTACAATTAATTTTATTAATATACTTTTAACTCAAAATGCTCATACTATACTTTCAATAAGAAATACAAAGAAAATATTTTCTATTTTTTATATTAACTGGTGTCTTTCACACAGCGAATTCAGTTCAGACCGGGCGCACTTCATGTACTCAGCCACCACGTGTGGTGAGTGACAGAGATCATCTTGCATGTGTGTCCACATTTTACTGCCTTTTTCTTGACCACAGATTCTACCTCCGGTTTCTCTGTGTATGCAGTGATTGTTTGCTTAATATTGCACATTGTGGGTAACGTGTTGAGCACGCTCAGGATCCCATAAGCTTCTTCGGAAGCTTTCCAGCTCTTGTTTTAGCAGGCAGCGCAGGCACTGCTGGGTCATCGTGACCATGGGCAGGCTTGGATTGATTTGCTGCTGGTGTGGATGGGTGGAGAGCTCCAGTCCTGCACCCACTCCGATCTCCGCCTCCTGGACTTGGCAGGGTGGCATGCTCCGCCCACACCAGAGCTCTCTCCGAGCTCCGCCTCCTGGACGTAGTAGGGTGGCCATGCTCCACCCACACCTGAGCTCTGAGCTCCACCTCCTAGACGTGGTAGGGTGATATGCTCCACCCACACCTGAGCTCTCTCTCAGCTCCACCTCCTGGACGTGGTAGGGTGATATACTCTGCCCACACCTGAGCTCTCTCCAAGCTCCGCCTCCTGGACATGGTAGGGTGGCCATGCTCCACCCACACCTGAGATCTCTCTGAGCTCTGCTTCCTGGACATGGTAGGGTGATATGCTCCGCCCACACCTGAGCTCTCTCTGAGCTCCGCCTCCTGGACATGGTAGGGTGATATGCTCCACCCACACCTGAGCTCTCTCTGAGCTCCACCTCCTGGACATGGTAGGGTGATATGCTCCGCCCACACCTGAGCTCTCTCTGAGCTCCGCCTCCTGGACGTGGTAGGGTGATATGCTCCACCCACACCTGAGCTCTCTCCGAGCTCCGCCTCCTGGATGTGGTAGGGTGGCCATGCTCCACCCACACCTGAGCTCTCTCCGAGCTCCGCCTCCTGGACATGGTAGGGTGATATGCTCCGCCCACACCTGAGCTCTCTCTGAGCTCCACCTCCTGGACATGGTAGGGTGATATGCTCCGTCCACACCTGAGCTCTGAGCTCCGCCTCCTGGACATGGTAGGGTGATATGCTCCACCCACACCTGAGCTCTCTCCAAGCTCCACCTCCTGGATGTGGTAGGATGATATGCTCCACCCACACCTGAGGTCTCTCTGAGCTCCGCCTCCTGGACATGGTAGGGTGATATGCTCCACCCACACCTGAGCTCTGAGCTCCACCTCCTGGACATGGTAGGGTGGCCATGCTCCACCCACACCTGAGCTCTGAGCTCCGCCTCCTGAATGTGGTAGGGTGATATGCTCCGCCCACACCTGAGCTCTCTCTGATCTCCGCCTCCTGGACGTGGTAGGGTGGCCATGCTCCACTCACACCTGAGCTCTCTGAGCCACGGTCTGCAGGTGTTCTCCAGGCAGAGGGCAAATGTACTGTCTGTGCGTCTCATTCATTCTCCTGCCCTCAAGTTCTGGCTGGCACAGCTGTAGTCACAGACTTAAAACAGCCATCTCATTCGTTTTGTGCAGTTTTACAGTTGTTTATGGCAGAGGTGTGATTTGGGTCCCTGTTATCTCATCATGGCTAGAAGCAGAAGTTTTGGCAAATTATTCTTGTATCTTTACATTTGAAAATTAAGGGAAAGTTTCACCCATGGAATATTAGCATTGTGACAATGCTAATGAGAGTTTCTCCAGAAACTATGATCCTGGTCAGCAGCCAGTCATTTCATAGAAGATAAACTTTAAGAATATTCTCTGAAGAGCAATGAAACTGAGATAAGATCTAACCACTGTTACCAACAACCAAGAAAAATAGGTAAGAAAATGCAGCTAAGATTTTGTTCAAGTAAGCAGGGTAATAAACATGCAGACTACTGCTAAGCACAAAATAGCTGGGAGTAAAAAATTTTTATGATATTGATATTTATGATTGTACAAAACTACCCCATGTGATATCACAAGGACTCCTGATGAAAATTTACAGAAGGTTTTTTATGGTTTATATAAAAATGCTAGTCAAATCCAAATATTTCACAAAAATAACATTTCAAATATTCTTTTGCATTTTGCAAAGACATCTGTACAATGAGGTTATTCATCACACATGACCCAGTAACATCTCTCAGTGGTTGGATTCAATATGAGAAATAAGCAAGCAAATAACCACACTGCTTCTTCCATTTCAAACTCATCGTTTCTCTTATAAAAAGTGGTCAAGAAAAATGTGTGTTGCCTTAAATAACCGGTTAGTGCCAAGAATTCGGTTTAAAATATTTCAAGTGGGTTATCCTTTTAAGTCCATTTTGTTAGTTACACAAAGAACACATACAAATAACATTTTTTTACCATAAGTTTTGGCAAATTATAACCATAAACTAAACAAACAGGATTAAGCATTTTTTTTTTTTGAGATAGGGTCTTCCTCTGTTGCCCAGGCTGCAGTGCAGTGGCATGACCATGGCTCACTGCAGCCTCAGCCTCCTTGGGCCCAAGTGATCCTCCCACCTCAGCCTCCCGAGCAGCTGGGACTATGCGCACACACCACCATGCCTGGCTGATTTCTGTATTTTTGGTGGAGACAGGGTTTTGGAATGTTGCCCAGGCTGGTCTCAAACTCCAGGACTCAAGCAATCTGCCTGCCTTGGCTTCCCAAAGTGCTGAGGCTGGAGGCATGAGCCACCATGCCTGGCCTAATCATTTTTAAAGAGTCTCTATTTATTATCGTTATTTTTTTCTAATTGAGATGGGGTCTTGCTGTGTTTCCCAGGCTGGAGTGCAGTGGTGCCATCTCAGCTCACGGCAACCTCTGCCTCCCAGGCTCAAGTGATTTTTCCACCTCAGCCTCCCAAGTAGCTGGGACTACAGGTGTACACCACCAGGCCCAGCTAATTTTTTGTACTTTTGGTGGAGACAAAATGTACAAAAGGCATTTTGGTACATTTTGCCATGTTTTCCGGGCTGGTCTTGAACTCTTGGGCTCAAGCCATACGCCTGCCCTGGACTCCCAAAGTGCAGGAGTTACAGGCATGAGCTACCGTGCCTAGCCCCTAATTACGTGCTGTTGCTTAATATTAAAATAAAGAAAAGGAGGAGCCCAAGGGAGCACGTTGGCAGAAAGAGCTCCCTTGCCAACAACCTTGCTAGCACGGCGTTCACTCCCTTGCCCGCTAGCATTTGCTAGCACGGCGTTCACTCCCTTGCCAACAACCTTGCTAGCACGGCGTTCACTCCCTTGCCCACTGGCATTTGCTAGCACGGCGTTCACTCTCTTGCCCGCTGGCACTGTGTTCTTTAGACGAAGATCACGCATGTGTAAATGAAAAACAACAACAACATAGGAACACCCTGTCTCCACAAAAACTTAAAAATTAGCTGGGTGTGGTGGCATGCACCTGTGGTCCCAGGTGCTTGAGAGGCTGAAGTGGGAGGACCGCCTGAGCCCAGGTGGTCACGGCTGCAGTGAGCCAAGAGCTGCAATCATGACACTGAATTCTGACCGTGGCGATAGAGCAAGACCCTGTCTCAAAACAAACAAAAAACAACAAAAACCCCAAATTATGCACTCTTTAAGTTCTGTCCTATCAATCTCAGTACCTTCATTAGTAAAGGTATAAAGGTGAATACTCAGGAGCTACTTGGAATAATGTGGGCATATGCTTGATCTCAGCTCTGATCTGATGCATGTCCTTCTGTCTCACTGCTTGCCAAGACCAAGCTAAACTTCAAAAGTAAAAATACTCCCAAAAAATTGTACATTTTCAACTATTCATATTGTACCTTAAGTTTCTCTTGTAGTGGAGAAAAAAATGGTGTCAAAGTGGTGTGTAGCTTCAAAGTGGGATGTAAGGTGATTTAGGTCCTTTGAGAAGACAAGCTTGCAACTGTCACATGAATAATGTTGGAATCAAAATCACAGAAACTAAACACCAAACAACGTAGGTTCAATCCATGTTTCTAACAAGTATCTGGATAACTACACTTTCTGCTTTACTTGGGTGGGAAGATCATGAGATGTAGTTTATAATTATTTGGGCAGAGAAAATAGAGAATTTGGGTAGTTATGTAAAATTCAAGATTAAATAAAAGCAGTATTACATAACACAAATATAAATGGGCTATTACCTTCAGTAATTCAGATCGGGGTTGGCACATCTGTGCACCAAATCTGGTCCGCTGTTCTTATAAAGTTTTATTGGTACACAGCCATACCCACTTGCTATCACCTATGGCTGCTTTCACACTCCAAGGGCAGAGTTGAGTGGTTGTGACAGACCTTATGGCCTGCAGGAACTAAAATACTATCTGGCAACTTGCAGGCAAAGTTTATGACCCGTGATTTGGGTAACTGCCTAAATTGTCCAATTTGCTTGTTCTAAAACAATACAACAATATAGCACATTTATATGAAGATTTGAGAACATGTATGCACCAGCCTAATCAGAAGAAAAGTCCAATTCCACCCAGAGGGGTACAAACTCTTCCCTTTCCCCTACAAAGAATTAAATGAATAAAATTGTTTGAGATTTTACTGGTATGTATCATATGTATGAGTCTTGATGAAAAGTTAAAAATGTGTTTTTATACAGATACATAATAATGTTACTTTTCCTTCCACGTTTAACTCATACAACACTGTTTTTGGACTTCTGGTTCACAAAATCTGCATTACTGCTTCATTATTTTGAAAGCAAAAACCCCTGATTGCTGGGCTAGGTCAATTCTGAGGTGCCCGGCACATTCAGGAGGCCGTGTCGGGGAGCGTGTCCCTTACCTGGAGGGGTGTAGGCGTCCATCGAGGTCTGCACGACCAGGGACCTGCGTTTGGAAGGCATAGGCACTGCCATCTTCCGCTCTTTGTGTTTGGCCAGAGCCGCCTGGACAGCTTCCGTGTGGACGTCTGAAACGGAGAGAGCTCAGTCACTCAGTGCTCAGCTGAGGTCCCAGAGGCCAAGCTGCACCCTCCTCTCTGTCCCTGCAGCACAGTTCATCCACCTTCTGAAACTCACCAACAGATGGGTGGGCGAGGAAAGAAAATCAGTGTTTACAATTCCAGTAAAGACATTAAAATTCATTCACAGACTTTTAATCATTTATTTTATTACCACAGAATCCATATCCATAAGCAAACACTGGCTGTAAACTGCACTGAGATTTGTCTTTTTAGGGTGAATGGACCTTGATCTTTGGAGATCTCTTTGTAGGTCACACGTTCGAGCCTCCAAATCCTTTCACTGTACTGCTGAGAGGCTGTGCATGCCTCGCACCCCAACTCACAGCCACGGTCACAGCTCAGCTGAGCACCAGCCACAGGCCAGGACTGTGTTGGCTATTGACATGGGTTGGCTGTGTCCCCACCCAAATCTCAACTTGAATTATATCTCCCAGAATTCCCATGTGTTGTGGGAGGGACCCAGGAAGAGGTAATTGAATCATTGGGGCCCATCTTTCCCGTGCTATTATCGTGATAGTGAGTAAGTTTCATGAGATCTGATGGTTTATTAGAGGTTTCCGCTTTTGCTTCTACCTCGTTTTCTCTTGCTGCTGACATGTAAAAAGTGCCTTTTGCCTCCCACCATGATTCTGAGGCCTCCCCAGCCATGCGGAACTGCAAGGCCAATTAAACCTTTTTATTCCCAGTCTTGGGTATGTCTTTATCAGCAATGTGAAAATGGACTAATACAACCATTAACACGCTTTGTGGCTATGAATCCATTACATTAATTCCACACATTCACCAAGTGCCTCCTCTGTAAGTCCCTAAGGGCTGGGAACGCAGTGGTGATAAGGCAGACAGTGTCACAGCATCTCACGCAGGCCAATTCCTAATGGACAAGACAGGTGACAGACGGGGTAGAGAATTAAAGCAGAGACAGACGCTGTGGCAACTCCAAACTGTGAAGCCAGGGAAGAACCCTCTCAACACAAAATCAGAATAACAGGCTTCAAGACAAGAATCTTCGAGACACAGGCAAAAACCCACTCAAAGGCCCTAAACTGTGAGTGAGAACGGTGTTAGCAGAATAAAATCACCACCAACCAAAATGGCCAGTGTGAGTGAAGACGGGTTGGGGGAAAGGGTCCCCAGGACGAGGCAGTCTTCTCTGAAGCTGTGAGAATGATCCCACTGAAAGGGAATCAGACATGTCTTTCCTGCTTAAACCCCGCGAGCTGCCACCTGAGACAGGACCCAGACCCGCCGCATCACGCCCACAATCAGCTCATCACACTGCTTGGTCTTGGTCAGCCTTTGTGCGTACTTCTCTCTCTAACTAGATAAAGAGCCTGGTTTTCTGGCCACTCTTTCTAATTCCCAGGTCAAAAATCAATATGTGACTGACTTGGGCTCATGGCCAAAAACTGAAGGGCTCATCAGTGAGGTGACACAGTCCACTCACTTCCCACAAATCACTTTTTGTTTTGCATATTCTCCATTTTAAACTTTTTGGATATAATTTCAGATACACAGAAAATCTGCAAGACCAGTGTAGAGAATTCCCATATAACTTTTACCAGGCTCACCAACTGCTCCTATCTTACACCACTGCTCTCCCCGCTCCCCCATGAATTTTCTAAGTCAAATGAAAATAAATTTCAGATACTATATTCCTCTATACCTAAATGTTTCAATGTATTTCCTAAACACAAGAATATTCTCTCACATACATTTTCCTCAAGATCAGGAAATTTAGCTGTCATATACAAAGTTCACATTCAAATGGTGTCAACTGTCTCCATAATTTTCTTACTTTGTCTTCCTATTTTATGATCCAATCCAGGATCATGAATTGCATTTATTTGTCAAGTGATTTTTACCCTTCGTGAATCCAAGTTTCTCAGCTTTTTTGTTTCTTGAAATTGGAAATTTTCAAGAATACAGGTTAGTTATTTTACAGCTTGTCCTTTATTTTGGTATCTTCCGGACTAGACTCAAGAGTATGCATTTTAGCAGGGATACCGCAGAAGTCTGTCCTGTGTGGCAATGTTAATGTCGGCAACTCAGTGAAGGTGGTGCTTAAGTTCCTCCAAAGCAAAGATGCTACTACTCACATTGCAATTAAGATTTGGGAGGAGAGACTGTGACACTATGTACATATTCTGTTTTTCATCGATCCTTCACTACTAGTTTTAGCATCCACTGATGATTTCCTGCCATTCCTTCTAAATCATTAGATCTTCTACATTCACTTAAAAATATTTACTCATTTTATCTTTCATCACTCATTTACTTCTGTCAATATGAACTCATGGAGTCTGGCTTGGTGGGTCATAATTCATAATTATAATGGTTTGTTTTGGTGCTCAATTGGTTCCAGATTTGACACCGGATTCCCCAGCCCTTGGACCAGGGCTCCTGCTAGTGAAGTATGGTGTTTGGAAGCTAAGACTAGGAACCGGGTGTGCTGTCACTGGGGGTCTCTGCTGCTGGGCACTGCCAGCAAGCAGAACACACAACATGTGTGTACACACATGTACACCCACACCCATCCACAGGCACTTCTGTCCCTGTCTACATCTGTCGGGAGCCACCAGCTCATACTGGTACCTCCTGCTGCAACCCAATCCCACATGATCCATTCCAGGCTTTGGCCTTTTCTTATTTCTACCTCTCTTGCCAAAAAAGAAACCTGGCTCCTGTTACCCTCAATATATTCACTAATTTATTAAGCTTATTTGCTTAAGCCTGGAGATACAGAAATGCTTTCAGAATTGCTATCTAGTACCACTGTGAAAAATCTATCAAATAGAGTTCAGTGTTCATTTACAATTATTTTTTCATTGTTTTCTTTTGGAAGGGCGGGAGTACAAAGTATACACAGTGAAATGTTCAGATCTTAAGTACACTTGGTGCACTTTGATAAGTGGAAATCTACCTATTACCCTGATCAAATCTTTTGCCTCAAAGTTCCCACACATCCCCTCCCGGTCAATCCTGGCCCTCGTGAGACAGCCACTGTTCATTCATGAGGCGTGTTCACTGGTGCTCTTCCGTCACCTGAGACTCGTGTAGATTCCCCATCGTCACATGGACTCCACGCCATGGTGTTCCCTCAAGAGACAGCCACTGTTCATTCATGAGGAGTGTTCCTTGGCGCTCTTCCATCACCCGAGACTCGTGTAGATTCTCTACCATTGCATGGACTCCACGCCATGGTGTTCCCTCAAGAGACAGCCACCGTTCATTCATGAGGAGTGTTCCTTGGCACTGTTCCGTCACCCGAGACTCGTGTAGATTCTCCACCGTCACATGGAGCCCACGGCATAGTGTTCACTCAAGAGACAGCCACTGTTCATTCATGAGGAGTGTTCCTTGGCGCTCTTCCATCATCCGAGACTCATGTAGATTCTCCATCATCACATGGAGCCCACGCCATGGTGTTCACTCAAGAGACAGCCACTGTTCATTCATGAGGAGTGTTTCTTGGTGCTCTTCCGTCACCCGAGACTTGTGTAGATTCTCCACCGTCACATGGAGCCCACAGCATGGTGTTCACTCCAGAGACAGCCACTGTTCATTCATGAGGAGTGTTCCTTGGCGCTATTCCGTCACCTGACACTCGTGTAGATTCTCCACCGTCACATGGACTCCACAGCATGGTGTTCACTCTCTGCTCAATTCAAGGCTCCTGGAACTCATCGCCGTTGCCTATTTTGGTTTCAGTATTTTGTACATTTTTCCTGATGGGAACTAGGACAATGTATGAATATATCATAATTTGCTCATGTTTCTCCAGCTGAGAGAGATTTACGTTGTTTCCAGTTTTTGGCTATGAGAATTTACTCTGGAGATAATGTGCATTCTTTTACACGGACACACATTTTCATCTCTCCTTGGTGAACATCTACAGCATACCTGCTGGGCCATATGGTAAATGTACACATTTTAAAGAAACTGCCACACTGTTTGCTAAAGTGGCCGTGCCGTTTTAAGTCTCCATCAGTCTGAGATCCAGCCTGTCATATCTTCACTAGCACCTGCTACCATCCTCCTCCTCCACTCTTGTGAAGTGGAACCTCATGGGTTTAAGTTGTACTTACCAAATGACCCCTGGTGAGCGCCTTTCATGGGACCACTGGGCATCTGTATACATCTGTTGTGAAGAGTCTATCTTGCACTGGGCATCTGTATACAACTGTTGTGAAGAGTCTCATGGCCCATGGGGCATCTGTATACAACTGTTGTGAAGAGTCTATCTTGCACTGGACATCTGTATACATCTGTTGTGAAGAGTCTGTCTTGCACTGGACATCTGTATACATCTGTTGTGAAGAGTCTCACAGGCCCACTGGGCATCTGTATATATTGGTTGCAAAGAGTATATCTTGCACTGGACATCTGTATATATCTGTTGTGAAGAGTCTCACAGGCCCACTGGACATCTGTATACAACTGTTGTGAAGAGTCTATCTTGCACTGGGCATCTGTATACATCTGTTGCGAAGAGTCTCACAGTCCACTGGGCATCTGTATACATCTGTTGTGAAGAGTCTCATGGTCTACTGGGCATCTGTATACAACTGTTGCGAAGAGTCTATCTTGCACTGGGCATCTGTATACATCTGTTGTGAAGAGTCCATCTTGCACTGGACATCTGTATACATCTGTTGTGAAGAGTCTCACAGTCCACTGAGCATCTGTATACACCTGTTGTGAAGAGTCTCACAGGACCACTGGGCATCTCTATACATCTGTTGTGAAGAGTCTCACGGTCCACTGGGCATCTGTATACATCTGCTGTGAAGAGTCTATCTTGCACTGGCCATCTGTATACATCTATTGAGAAGAGTCTATCTTGCACTGGCCATCTGTATACATCTGTTGTGAAGTCTCACAGGCCCACTGGGCGTCTGTATACATCTGTTGTGAAGAGTCTCACGGTCCACTGGGCATCTGTATACATCAGTCGTGAAGAGTCTATCTTGCACTGGACATCTGTATACATCTGTTGTGAAGAGTCTCACAGGCCCACTGGGCATCTGTATACGTCTGTTGCAAAGAGTCTCATGGTCCACTGGGCAACTGTATACATCTGTTGTGAAGAGTCTCACCGTTCACTAGGCATCTATATACATCTGTTGCAAAGAGTCTATCTTGCACTGGGCATCTGTATACATCTGTTGTGAAAAGTCTCACAGTCCACTGGGCATCTGTATACACCTGTCATGAAGAGTCTCACGGTCCACTGGGCATCTATATACATCTGTTGCGAAGAGTCTATCTTCCACTGGACATCGGTATACAACTGTTGTGAAGAGTCTCATGGTCCACTGGGCATCTGTATACCTCTGTTGTGAAGAGTCCCATGGTCCACTGGGCATCTGTATACATCTGTTGTGAAGAGTGTATCTTGCATGCTTGCAAAATTCACACCATTTCTGGTTGCTTCTAGATTTCCTAAAATTTTCTAAATAAGGCCCTGTGTCTTCGGTAAATCAAGTGTCTCATGCCTTCCAAGTCTGTGCCTTTTAGTTCTCCTGACTCACTTCATTGACGAGGGCCCCAGTGAGTGCCATGCAGACCTGAACCACGGAGAATGGCCATGATCCCCTGACACCCAACTGTGGGCAGAGCGCCCCGGCTGCCACCATGGAGGAGGGGCATCAGCTCTCATTTTTCAGGAAGGGCCCTTATCAAACAGAGAAAGATCCCTTCTGTTCCTGATGTGACAGGAAATTCGTATAACGACTATTAAATTTCAACAGATGTTTTTCAGCATCTTCTGAGATGATAAAATGGGTTTTCTCCTTTATTTTTTGTCAATGTAGTGAATTACATTGATTTTTGAATGATGAGCCAAGTGTGCCAGGCAAAACTACACCACATCAAGAGAACAAACTCAACTGGTTGTGATATTCATATCCCTTTTACATATTTTGGGTTTGATGTAGTAATAATTTGTAAAAAGCTTCGGCATCTATATGTCAAGAAGAGTGAAAAGTGTGAGATTTTTGTCTCGCATGCAAACTAACAAGGGAGCCAGCACCAGCCCAACATGCTGACAGAGCTGGGACATTCCCAGGCCAGAAACAAAGGGCTTGTCACACACAGTGGGGCAGCAGGACCCACTCACCCCTGTCGATACTCAGGATCACACACAGTGGAGCAGCAGGACCCACTCATCCCCATCTATACTCAGGATCACACACAGTGGGGCAGTAGGACCCAATCACCCCCGTCGATATTCAGGATCACACACAGTGGGGCAGCAGGACCCACTCACCCCTGTCGATATTCAGGATCACACACAGTGGGGCAGCAGGACCCACTCACCCCTGTCGATACTCAGGATCACACACAGTGGGGCAGCAGGACCCACTCATCCCCATCTATACTCAGGATCACACACAGTGGGGCAGCAGGACCCGCTCACTCCCATCGATACTCAGGATCACACACAGTGGGGCAGCAGGACCCGCTCACTCCCATCAATACTCAGGATCACATGCAGTGGGGCAGCAGGACCCACTCACCCGTCGATAATCAGGATCACACACAGTGGGGCAGCAGGACCCACTCATCCCTGTCTATACTCAGGATCACACACAGTGGGGCAGCAGGACCCAATCACCCCCATTGATATTCAGGATCACACACAGTGGGGCAGCAGGACCCGCTCACTCCCACTGATGCTCAGGATCACACACAGTAGGGCAGCAGGACCCACTCATCCCCGTCTATACTCAGGATCACACACAGTGGGGCAGCAGGACCCGCTCACTCCCGTCGATACTCAGGATCACACACAGTGCGGCAGCAGGACCCACTCATTCCCATTAATAATCAGGATCACACACAGTGGGGCAGCAGGACCCACTCATCCCTGTCTATACTCAGGATCACACACAGTGGGGCAGCAGGACCCAATCACCCCCGTTGATATTCAGGATCACACACAGTGGGGCAGCAGGACCCGCTCACTCCCACTGATGCTCAGGATCACACACAGTAGGGCAGCAGGACCCACTCATCCCCGTCTATACTCAGGATCACACACAGTGGGGCAGCAGGACCCACTCATCCCCATCTATACTCAGGATCACACACAGTGGGGCAGCAGGACCCGCTCACTCCCGTCGATACTCAGGATCACACACAGTGCGGCAGCAGGACCCACTCATTCCCGTCAATAATCAGGATCACACACAGTGGGGCAGCAGGACCCACTCATCCCTGTCTATACTCAGGATCACACACAGTGGGTCAGCAGGACCCACTCACCCCATTGATATTCAGGATCACACACAGTGGGGCAGCAGGACCCACTCACTCCCGTCGATACTCAGGATCACACGCAGTGGGGCAGCAGGACCCACTCACCCCTGTCGATAATCAGGATCACTCACAGTGGGGCAGCAGGACCCACTCATCCCCGTCTATACTCAGGATCACACACAGTGGGGCAGCAGGACCCGCTCACTCCCGTTGATACTCAGGATCACACACAGTGGGGCAGCAGGACCCGCTCACTCCCGTTGATACTCAGGATCACACACAGTGGGGCAAGCAGGACCCACTCACTCCCGTCGATACTCAGGATCACACACAGTGGGGCAAGCAGGACCCACTCACCCCTGTCGATATTCAGGATCACACACAGTGGGGCAGCAGGACCCGCTCACTCCCATCAATACTCATGATCACACACAGTGGGGCAGCAGGACCCACTCACCCCTGTCGATACTCAGGATCACACACAGTGGGGCAGCAGGACCCACTCATCCTCATCTATACTCAGGATCACACACAGTGGGGCAGCAGGACCTGCTCACTCCCGTCGATACTCAGGATCACACACAGTGGGGCAGAAGGACCCACTCATCCTCATCTATACTCAGGATCACACACAGTGGGGCAGCAGGACCTGCTCACTCCCGTCGATACTCAGGATCACACACAGTGGGGCAGAAGGACCCACTCATCCTCATCTATACTCAGGATCACACACAGTGGGGCAGCAGGACCTGCTCACTCCCGTCGATACTCAGGATCACACACAGTGCGGCAGCAGGACCCACTCATCCCTGTTGATACTCAGGATCATATACACTGGGGCAGCAGGACCCACTCACCCCTGTCAATACTCAGGATCACATACAGTGGGGCAGCAAGACCCACTCACCCCCGTCGATACTCAGCGGCATCCTTTACCACTTAAGGGACTTTCAAGCTCATCTTGTGTAACAAAAGTCGACTTCTCCACCTCCCCATACAAAGGCAAGATGTTATTTAGGCAAACAAAATTAACGATCAAGTAAAGAAATGCTTACAATTTTCTCTTCTGAGAAAATTTGTTTTTAGTGACTGCGGCTATCAAGGCACACACTTGCATATTATACATAATACTGCTTGTGGCCAAAGTCACGGTACTTTCCTACTCTTAAATAATTTATCAAGAGTCCTGAAAAGTGAGTATCTTAAAGAGAAAAGTGGTATGTGGCTTACTCCAGGCTAAGGAGTGAGTAAGGCAGCCTATTCTTGTGAAATATGTGATTTTTCTACAGGAAGGGGAATATCACACTCTGGGGACTGTGGTGGGGTCGGGGGAGGGGGGAGGGATAGCAGTGGGAGATATACCTAATGATAGATGACACGTTGGTGGGTGCAGCGCACCAGCATGGCACATGTATACATATGTAACTAACCTGCACAATGTGCACATGTACCCTAAAACTTAAAGTATAATTAAAAAAAAAAAAAAAAGAAGTAAACACATTCAGTTACCTAATTCCATGAAGAAAATATTAATAAACTATTAATAAAAACACATACACACACACAACTACAGTCATGTGCCAAATAAAGATGTTTCAGTCAACAACAACAAAAAAAAAAAAAAAAGAAAATCTGAGAACAAGATATCATTGTGAGATTGTTATCTCCAGGAAGGAGTGAAATGGGTGCTGGGAAATTGAGGGAGCCTTGGAACAGGAATCTCACCATCTCGAATGGGGAATCCAGCAAATGGGAAAACAGTCGCTCTGATTCACGGACGTTTCTGAAAGCTTCACGTCCACTCCATGTTGCATTTGAATGACTTTTCTCCTTGTGATGTGGACCCGACACAAGAGAGGTCCCACGTAGACATTCGGCATTTGTCAGGGTCTGGCACCGTGGCTCACTTCCACAGATTTAACATGTTTATGTATAAATTACAATGGTCCCGTGTTGCATTTGAATGACTTTTCTTCTTGTGATGTGGACCCGACACAAGAGAGGTCCCACGTAGACATTTGGCACTTGTCAGGATCTGGCACCTTGACTCACTTCTACAGATTTAAGATGTTTACGTATCAATTACAATGGCTCAACTGTATAAAAGCTGGTATCAGTTATGGATCAATTCCCTTATTTCTCTCTTGGGCCACACTTCCTGCTTCTGCAGAACATATCACTTGGCTGCAACACACAATGTTGACATTGAAAATAAAAAAGACTGTATAAAAATGATGCAGAGAATTCTTCTGAAAGGCCACTGGGACACACACTTTGTTGGTGATCAGCTGTCTACTAGCAGCAGCAAGAGAGACAGAGCTCCACGCATGAGCAGCCACAGCACCTGGGTCTGTGACCCACACCAAGACCCCCAGGGTGACGACAGGCCAACCAACAGCCTTGGAAAGTACACTTCCTTCCCAGAAGAGCTTCCCAAGAGAAAACAGAAACACTGATAATTGCAGGCATTTCCATGACTGGTCTGGAACAATGAAACCACTCACCTCCAACAAGGAACACATCTTGTTTCAACTGAGGCAACTAAAAAGACGAAGGAAATAGCACAAAAGCCAGGTTGGTTCTGTCACTTACACACACACAGACATGTACAGGTCTGTATGTGCGTACATGTATGTATATGTCCATATGTGTGGGTATAAAATATACTGTCTATGCCTCAATAACGGCATCGTCTAAATTCAGCCTGTGAGTTCCTCAGGGCCAGGGAGGGAGTCTCAAAGCCCATCTCTGCAGCACCGGGCTGTGCTCCCCAGCCCCTGCCTGTGGGCGGTGACTGGTGAAGCAACAAACCCTCCCAGCCCTGTTCCTTCTACACCACATCCGGAACAGGCGTACGTACACCTGGTATAGAAAGCTCCCACAGCCTGAACAGATCATTCGATTCTAAGTCAGGTTAACCTAATCTCTGCAGTGCAGTCCTACAAACAGATTTTCAAAAAGTTACCAAACCACCACCTCAAACCTCAACACTTTGTCTACTTGGAAAGAGGACGTGGGACTGGGATTTACTCGGCCACCAAAACACTCACAGGGTATTATCCTATCGCCCTTCAGTGCCCAGAATAATCATGTGGTCTCTCGCAGTAAAAACAAAACCACAACCACCGCAACCCAGCTTTTCTTCAAGTTGTAGGGAGTTTTACAGCCTCTTTCTATGTGGTCTTTCTTTTTGCCCCAAACTGGATATTCTTTTTACTTTCTCCTTATTTCCTGACTATAATTTAATCAATGTAATTAAAGTGCTTGTGTTAGAAGCAATTTTACTTAAAAAGAATTGAAAGAACTACATCAAAATATTAACAGTAGCCATTTCAGGATGACAAGATGACAACGTATTGTTTTTTGTTCATTCTCTTCAACATTTGCGAAGTTTTCTGCCTTGAGTGTAACCACTTTTGCCATCAGAGGTTACATATAGTGCTTGATGGAATGAGGCCATAGAGCACACACACCACCCTCTAACACAAAGCAATCATGTGGGGAAGGATGGAGACACAGGAAAGGTACATCTTGAAGAAATGCGGGTTTTTTTCCATAAAGGCAAAAGACATTTTAAGAAATGTTTGCACCATACACAAGTCTGCTACATTTGGTCAAAAAACTGAGAAAACAGTAACAGAAGAATACTTCTGCCCACAAGGAGACCAGCACACCCAGCTCAGGGCGACACAAGGAGACCAGCACACCCAGCTCGGGGCGACTCCAGACGAGGACAGAGAGTGGTTTCCTCACAGCTGACCCACAGGATCGGGTAACACGAGCAGGAGGGAAGCATGGGGACCACAAAGATGTCAGACTGTGGACTGCACAGCAGAAGACAGCAACACAAACCAGTGGAGTCACTAAAAACAATTGCAAAAAGATGTCTACATTCTGCTTTAACCGGAAATCAGTGGCACAGTGACACTTCAAAACATCCATAAACAGCACCCTGAAGATTCCGTCAGACTCTACATGGAACAATGTTAAGGCAAATAATGATAACGGGATAGCGCTAAGGGGTCTTCTCAGTGCAGACCCTTAGAGCGCGCACTAACCCCATCATCAAAACACGGCAAACACGTGGAAAAAGGACAACCTGCCCAGGGGTGAAGAGCAGCTTCTGAAGCACGCAGTGTAATTATGAGTGACTAAAGTGAGTCAGAATCTACCTCCATGTGCTAAGTTGTTGCTGTGTTTAATAATCCCAGTCCAACTCAAAATATCCAAGCCAGAAAGGAGCATCCGGCCACTAACATCTACAATAGCGATTAAATGGACAGCGCTTTGTCGAAAGACCTTTCACAACGTGACACCTAGAGGGAAGCGAAGCAACCAAGCCACGATGGCCCCCTGGTTCCTCTCGCTGCTCCTCCTGGGTCCTCAGCACAGCCGGGTGGCTCTGCTGGTGCCCTCCTGCAGAGAAAACACCACACACCGCTACTGAGGAGGTCTCTTATGACATCCAGCTTAAAAGGCCGCATGTCCACTGGCCAGTGGCCCAAATCCCACAGGTGAGGCGAGAGAAGAGGGATAGACTTGACCACAGGGCACGGGGCAGGATGGACCCATCTCCCTTGAGAGCCAACGCCAGCGGATCACCGGGAGGCCTGGCCAGTCTGAGGCCCCAGTGCGAGGAAGGGGGCAGTGTTGGATTAACACACAGTGCTGGAAAGGGTATGAGCTGAGAACAAAGACGTTTACAGAGCTCTGCATAAAACCCAGATCACTGTGAGAAGAGCTCATAAGATGAAGAACTTTTAGGAAAATATAACATGGGTAAACAGGTTGCTACAAAACAAATATTCCCTTGAAAACACAATATCCTTTTCATAAAATGAGCTGATAAATGAAATCTAGCAGCTGTGCAGCATCAGAAATCCATTACAGCATCTGATCAAGCGTCCTCCAAAGCCTTAATTACAAATGCCCTGAATACAGTTTTACCCGGCCACATGAATGAGACACCAGATGAGAGGCCGTGGAATGGAAACAATGAGAAACAGAAATCTCTCGGGTGAAGGTACCAGGCAGGATTGCAGCGGAGTCAACAGACATGTGTGCAAACATCACGAGAGTAACAAGATTTGCTGGTCATGCTGGACATACAGTGTCAAAGACTCCAGCAAATGCCTGAAATACAAATGCTTAAAACGATAGGAGAAAATAATCTGGAGGCTCAGCAGTCAGGACAGAGGGCAGTGATTGTCTAGTATTTTTAAGTATCTTTGAGGAAGAGCACTGAAAGTGGTCAAGGATACTTCCACTTAGGGAGAGGCTAGGAAGTGACGGCTTAAAATTTCACGTAAATGGAAGATGATTCTAGTTTGGGATCCTAAAGCAGCATTAACGTGTTATCAAAGCAAAGAGAAAAGAAGCAGATGCATAAATACTGAATGAGAAAGGAATGAGGGAATGTAACAGGTACAGCTGGACTCAGGGCTGTCAGGGCAAACACAGCACAGGGGCTCCAAGGAGACCACGCTGCCTGCAGCCATCTCAGGCAGGGAGGGATATTGCTGGAGAAGCTCCTACAAAGCTGTCGGAGCTGGGGGTGAGCTGCTGGCTGCCATGCAACACAGAGGCCAGAGACCCCAGCAGCAGCAGGACCTGCTAGAGCCTCTGTGCACAGCCCTGAGACTAAGAAGTGAAACCACTGTCCTCACATGCCTCTGTCACACTTCACAAACACAACTCAACAGAATTTGCAGGACTCAGATCCATGGTTTCTGAAGAAGGCAATAAAGGGTGAATTTGGAGCTGAGAGGCAATAAATTGATAGAGGTGCATTTGGTGACTCCAAAAGAGGCAGATCTTTCTCGTTTTTTCTGCTGTGGCTGCTAACAGTTCATTCCCTTTAGGCCTTTCACTCTAAGAACCCAGAAGCACCCATCTATTAAGAGAAGGGCTTATTCAGGATCAGCTTCATGCAGCATTGAATAAATCACTATTGCTAGTGAAGAGTTTGTTGGTACTACTTACATTTATAGTGTTAGATAAATTGGTTAACTAAAATACATTTAACAGCGTTTCTTAAAGTACTAAAAAGGGATAAAATACTAAAAATACTAAAAAGGGATAAAGTACTAAAAAGGGGATAAAAATGTCAGCACCCCTCAAACCCCTCAGAGAAAGAGGTAGTATACAAATGCACCCTGTATGCTTGATGTCATTATTGCAATGAGATATTCAGGGATAAAAGCATCAGCACCTATCAAACCCCTCAGAGAAAGAGGTAGTATACAAATGCACCATCTATGCTTGATGTCATTATTGCAATGAGATATTCGGGGATAAAAACATCAGCACCCTTCGAACCCCTCAGAGAAAGAGGTAGTATACAAATGCACCATCTATGCTTGATGTCATTATTGCAATGAGATACTCAGGGATAAAAACATCAGCACCCCTCAGAGAAAGAGGTAGTATACAAACGCACCCTCTATGCTCGATGTCATTATTGCAATGAGATATTCGGGGGATAAAAACATGAGCACCCCTGGAACCCTCAGAGAAAGAGGTAGTATACAAATGCGCCCTTTATGCTTGAAGTCATTATTGCTGTTACTAGTATTCTAGATTACTATGTATATCCACAGCTTTAAATCTTTAGAAAAACCCATACCCTTCACTTCCATCTTTTGAAGTCATAAATCACAATCCATTTCCTAGAGCTCCTGCCATTTGCACCAAGCTCACAGCATTACACAGTGAGCACACACACAGCCTGGGGCTGCTGTCCAATGGCAAAGACAACCATGAGTCAACAGAAGAGAATGTTCCTCCAAGGTAGATACGTGGCTTCACAGCAGCAGAGCAGGAAGACGTAGGTTCGGGAGCCAGGCCGCACCGGTTCAAACCCCAGCTCCTCTGTGACCTTGGGCAAGTTGCTTAACCTATTTGCACCCCCATTTCCCTGGGTGCAAATCAGGAACAGTGAGTCCCTGCCTGAGGAGTGGCCCATGAGGAGTAAATGAGATGAAAACACTCTGCAGTGAGTCCCTGCCTGAGGGGAGACCGTGAGGAATAAATGAGATGAAAACACTGCAGTGAGTCCCTGCCTGAGGGGAGACCGTGAGGAGTAAATGAGATGAAAACACTCTGCAGTGAGTCCCTGCCTGAGGGGAGACCGTGAGGAGTAAATGAGATGAAAACACTCTGCAGTGAGTCCCTGCCTGAGGGGAGACCGTGAGGAGCAAATGAGATGAAAACACTCTGCAGTGAGTCCCTGCCTGAGGGGAGGCCGTGAGGAGCAAATGAGATGAAAACACTCTGCAGTGAGTCCCTGCCTGAGGGGAGGCCGTGAGGAGCAAATGAGATGAAAACACTCTGCAGTGAGTCCCTGCCTGAGGGGAGACCGTGAGGAATAAATGAGATGAAAACACTCTGCAGTGAGTCCCTGCCTGAGGGGAGACCGTGAGGAATAAATGAGATGAAAACACTCTGCAGTGAGTCCCTGCCTGAGGGGAGGCCGTGAGGAGTAAATGAGATGAAAACACTCTGCAGTGAGTCCCTGCCTGAGGGGAGGCCGTGAGGAGTAAATGAGATGAAAACACTCTGCAGTGAGTCCCTGCCTGAGGGGAGGCCGTGAGGAGTAAATGAGATGAAAACACTCTGCAGTGAGTCCCTGCCTGAGGGGAGGCCGTGAGGAGCAAATGAGATGAAAACACTCTGCAGTGAGTCCCTGCCTGAGGGGAGACTGTGAGGAATAAATGAGATGAAAACACTCTGCAGTGAGTCCCTGCCTGAGGGGAGACTGTGAGGAATAAATGAGATGAAAACACTCTGCAGTGAGTCCCTGCCTGAGGGGAGGCCGTGAGGAGTAAATGAGATGAAAACACTCTGCAGTGAGTCCCTGCCTGAGGGGAGACTGTGAGGAGTAAATGAGATGAAAACACTCTGCAGTGAGTCCCTGCCTGAGGGGAGGCCGTGAGGAGTAAATGAGATGAAAACACTCTGCAGTGAGTCCCTGCCTGAGGGGAGGCCATGAGGAGTAAATGAGATGAAAACACTCTGCAGTGAGTCCCTGCCTGAGGGGAGGCCGTGAGGAGTAAATGAGATGAGAACACTCTGCAGTGAGTCCCTGCCTGAGGGGAGGCTGTGAGGAGTAAATGAGATGAAAACACTCTGCAGTGAGTCCCTGCCTGAGGGGAGACTGTGAGGAGTAAATGAGTGACTGAATCAAAGCACTCACAGCGGAGCTGCCTCCTGGTGATTAAAACACTCTGCAAGTGCAAGAGCTTAAGATGCTCCTCCTGGTTAGTGTGACCCAAGTCTGGAAAGAGGACAGAGAAGAAAGCCAAGCCTGGGAGAAGCCAAAACTGTGCAAGAGGCCAGACGAGACAGGCTGCATGGAATTCCACCTGTCCACGGCCACCGTTTGTCTCCACTACACAGGGCCATCTGTGTTCCCTCCCTTTTGTCTCCACTACATAGGGCCATCTGTGTTCCCTTCCACGACGATTTTTGTTCCACCGTTTCGTTCTTTGGTAAACTGCACACAAAAGCAGAGGTGTGGAGAGTTGTGCAAAATGGTCAAGACAGAGTGAAGGCAAGAAGATTTTATTTTATCCTCACTCATTCCTTCTCTAAGTCTTTTCTTCATGTGGACTGGATTCTCTGACCTGCCATGTCCAGGCTATTGATGGGCCCAGCAAAAACATACTTCATTTCTCTTACAGTGTTTATTTCTAGCATTGCCTTTTGATTCCTAGATTTTCCATCTCTCTGCTCACATATCCACCTCCAATTACGGCACAATGGTTTGAGGTTATAATCTCAATTCTTTGACAGATCTAGGAGGAGTTGCTTATTTTCGGTTTGTACAGCTTTTTGCTCAAGAGGACAAGCGTGATGACTTCCAAGCTCCTTAGGTGCTGGACTGGAAGCTACAAGTCTATGCATCTCCTATTTTATTTTATTCTTTTTATTATTGTCTCACTTCTCCCTTCTGTGGACTTAATTTTTTCTAACATGTTAAGATAAATGCTTATTTCTTCAGTTTCCAAGATGTCTTCTGACTTAATATAAAGATTTTAGTCTATAAATTCAAGTACCATTTCCACAGCATCTCACAAATTTTGATTCATCATTTTTCACCTGAAATACAACAGCCCCCTAACCTGTTTCTGCCTTCAGTCAGGAACCCAATCCAATGAAACCAATCTATCCTATATATTTCTGCTACATTGATATGTCCAAAATTCCCTCTTTAGAAATGACGAGGCACAGATAGCAAGATTAAATTCTTTTTTTTCTTTTTAGAGGCAGGGTCTCACTCTGTCACCCAGAGTGGGGTGCAGTGATGTGACAACAGCTCACTGCAGCCTCCAGCTCCTAGGTTGAAGTGATCCTTCCACCTCAGCCCCCTGGGTAGCTGGGACCACAGGTGTGTGGCCACCACACCCGGCTAGTCTTTCATCGTTTGTAGAGATGGGCTCTGACTTTGTCACCCAGGCTGGTCTCGAACTCCTGTCTTCAAGCTCTCCTCCACCTCGGCCTCCCAAAGTGCTGGCATTACAGGCGTGAGCCACTGCACCTGGCCAAAAGTCACTTTCTGTAGTGTGGGACATCTTTATGCTGCGTCCTCAGCTGTGCCTGTGGCCTCTCCTCCCACAGCTGCGGCCCCAGAGCAGCACGTGATGGGGACTGTCTGCAGGTCTGGCAACAGTCCCACCCACACCATCCAGCATGAGAGCCGCCCAGCCACCCGCCCGAAAGTGCAGTGATGAAGCAGGAGGATGATTTTATATATCATCTTAACACATTTAAATGTAAAAGGCCCCACAAGGCTACTGCCCTCATACTGGACAGGGCAGCTCCCACCAGACAGAGCCTGTCACCTCCTCTGGGGACATCACAGTGGCTACACAGTCCTACTTGGCCGCACTGTAGGCCGCCTTCTCTCCTAGCATCATTCTGATGTAAATAAGGAAGTAACACTATGTGTATTGGAATCAATGAGAAAATTGAGTTGTTCAGAGAGAACACAGGTCACAGGACAGGAACCTCATCAAAATCAGTAAATCCAGACTGACTCAGGAAAGATAAACCTTCTCAGTCTAGAAAATTAAACTTCGGCATAGAGGAGGAACTTATACGGTGACCCCCATGATGGCAGATGACCCCGTGACAGCAAGGAGGATGCCCTCTACATTCCTGCCTCACCGGCAGCGCGTGACAGAGTGCTTGGAACCTGTGACGGCAAGGATGCCCTCTACATTCCTGCGTCACCGGCAGCGTGTGACGGAGTGCTCAGAACCCGTGACGGCAAGGAGGATGTCCTCTACATTCCTGCCTCACTGGCAGCACACAGCAGAGTGCTCGGAACCCCGTGACAGCAAGGAGGATGTCCTCTACATTCCTGCCTCACCAGCAGCGCATGGCAGAGTGCTCGGAACCCATGACAGCAAGGAGGATATCCTCTACATTCCTGCCTCACCGGCAGCACATGGCAGAGTGCTCGGCACCCCGTGACGGCAAGGAGGATGCCCTCTACATTCCTGACTCACCGGCAGGGCACAGCAGAGTGCTCGGAACCCAGAATCACCTGCACATTTGCTGAAAGAATACTAGAACACAAGTCTATTTCCAAAACTGACACTAAACTATCCTCAGCATAAAATCCGCCTCAAGGATGGGTTCAGAAGCACAAGTTTCCAGTTTACCTCTCAACTTTTTCAAAAAAAAAAAAAAAAAAGCTTTAAAAATCTAACAATAGTTCTCAAACTCTTTGACCCAAAGAGCACTTTAAAGACTGTTGAAAACCTTAAAAAGCTTTTGCCAGTGGGGCTAATATTTTGATATTTGTGGCATTAGAAAGTAAATCAAAACTTTTTAAAAAACAAGATGTCACAGTCACAGAATCCACTGGCTCTCAGAACCCTCCCCCACCCCCAAACAGACAGCCAGCCTTGGAAAAACCCACTGTGCACTCAGGAGACAAAGAGTCAACAGGAGACATGGCCGTGTCATTCTGGAAAGCACAACACTGCAGACATCCCTGGGAGGGTCTCGAACCCCTGAGGGTCCCTGGGCTCTGTTGGAAGCTTGCTGTCCCAGAGGACACGGGACCGGGACATTCTACTGCAAAGGAGGGGCAAGGCTGAAGTCAGATGCTGATCCCTGAGAGGGCAGCCCAAGCCATGCATGCTCACACATGGAAGTTCTTAGTTCATCAAAAGACACAGCAGTAGCTCCACCCACATCACAGAATGGCCTGCTGCACATGGGTTCTAGTATCTTCCTCTCAGTCACATCAGGGAACCACATGCTGCACGTGGGCTCTAGGATCTTCCACAGCCACATCAGGGAACAGTGTCCTTCATCTGGGCTCTAGGGTCTTCCTCCCAGTCACATCAGGGAACGGCGTGCTGCACGTGGGCTCTAGGATCTTCCCACAATCACATCAGGGAACGGCGTGCTGCACGTGGGCTCTGGGATCTTCCTCCCAGTCACATCAGGGAACCACCTGCTGCACGTGAGCTCTAGGACCTTCCCACAGCCACATCAGGGAACTGCGTGCTGCACGTAGGCTCTAGGATCTTCCTCTCACAGTCACATCAGGGAACCACCTGCTGCACGTGAGCTCTAGGACCTTCCCAGTCACATCAGGGAACCAACCACCTGCTGCACGTGAGCTCTAGGACCTTCCCACAGTCACATCAGGGAACCACCTGCTGCACGTGAGCTCTAGTATCTTCCCACAGCCACATCAGGGAACCGCGTGCTGCACATGAGCTCTAGTATCTTCCTCCCACAGTCACATCAAGGGATCGCGTGCTGCACGTGGGCTCTAGGATCTTCCTCTCACAGTCACATCAGGGAACGGCATGCTGCACATGAGCTCTAGGATCTTCCTCTCCCAGTCTTGGGTGGAATGGGCACAACACAAGTCTCCAGGTTTTCTTTTCCAGAGTTGTTGGTTGGGGAAAAAAAGGTGATAACTAAAGCTAGAATCTAAGCTCTAACTGAGAGTTTATCAAGTAAAGGTAATGAAGTGCTTAAAATCGACTCCAATACATTCTAGGTGCTCAATAAATGCCAGCTCATTCACTTACTTCCCAAATCAAGCTCAAGTTCCAAAAGAAAGCTATTTATAAAGAGAAGATATGTACTATGATGAAGAGCTTTCATAAGAATTCATTACAAAGTAAGGTCATGGGTTTAGAAATGAAATGAGAAAATACATCCAGTAGAGGTTAAATGGCTGAGTAGATTAATTATTAACTAGGTCAATTATGTAAGCAATAACAAAATTATTTCTGGGCTGCTAAAATTCAGTCATTGATGGGGAGAATGGAACAAGTTGGAAAACACTCTTCAGGATATTATCCAGGAGAACTTCCCCAACCAACCAAGACAGGCCCACATTCAAATTGAGAAATACAGAGAATATCACGAAGATACTCCTTGAGAAAAGCAACCCCAAGACACATAATTGTCAGATTCACCAAGATTAAAATGAAGGAAAAAATGTTAAGGGCAGCCAGAGAGAAAGGTAGGGTTACCCACAAAGGGAAGCTCATCAGACTAACAGCGGATCTCTCTGCAGAAACCCGACATGCCAGAAGAGAGTGGGGGCCAATATTCAACATTCTTAAAGAATTTTCAACCCAGAATTTCCTATCCAGCCAAACTAAGCTTTGTAAGTGAAGGAGAAATATAATCATTTACAGACAAGCAGATGCTGAGAGATTCTGTCACCACCAGGTCTGCCTTACAAGAGCTCCTGAAGGAAGCACTAAATATGGAGACGAAAAACTGGTACCAGCCACTGCAAAAACATAACAAATTGTAAAGACCACTGACACTGTGAAGAAACTGCATCAACTAATGGGCAAAATAACCAGCTAGCATCATAATGACAGGATCGAATTCACACATAACAATATTAACCTTAAATGTAAATGGGCTAAATGCCCCCATTAAAAGACACAGACTGGCAAACTGGATAGAGTCAAGACCCGTTGGTGTGCTGTATTCAGGAGACCTATCTCATGTGCAAAGACACACATAGGCTCAAAATAAAGGATGGAGGAATATTTACAAAGCAAAAAAAGCATGAGTTGCAATCCTGGTCTCTGATAAAACATACTTTAAACCAACAAAGATCAAAAAAGACAAAGAAGGGCATTACACAATGGCAAAGGGATCAATACAACAAGAAGGGCCAACTATCCTAAATATATACATACCCAATACAGGAGCACCCAGATTCATAAAGCAAGTTCTTAGATACCTACCAAGAGACTTAGACTCCCACACAGTAACAGTGGGAGGCTTTAACACCCCAACGTCAGTATTAGACAGATTGAGACAGAAAATTAACAAGGATATTCAGGACTTGAACTCAGCTCTGGGCCAAGCGGACCTAATAGACATCTACAAAACTCTCCACCCCAAATCAATAGGATATACCTTCTTCTCAGCACCAAATTGCACCTATTCTAAAACTGACCACATAATTGGAAGTAAAACACTCAACAAATGCAAAAGGATGGAAATCATAACAAACAGTCTCTCAGACTACAGTGCAATCAAATTAGAACTCACAGTTAAGAAACTCACTCAAAACTGCACAAATACATGGAAACTGAACAACCTGCTCCTGAATGACTACTGGGTAAATAATGAAATTAAGGCAGAAATAAATAAGTTCTTTGAAACCAATGAGAACAAAAGACAATGTACCAGAATCTCTGGGACACAGATAAAGAGGTGTGTAGAGGGAAATTTATAGCACTAAATGCCCACAAGAAAAAGCAGGAAAGATCTAAAATCGATACCCTAACATCATAATTAAAAGAACTAGAGAAGAAAGAGCAAACAAATTCAAAAGCTAGCAGAAGACAAGAAATAACTAAGATCAGAGCAGAAATGAAGGAGACAGAGACACGAAAAACTCTTCAAAAAAATCAATGAATCCAGGAGCTGGTTTTTGGAAAAGATCAACAAAATAGATAGACCACTAGCCAGACAAAGAAGAAAAGAGAGAAGAATCAAATAGACACAATAAGAAATGATAAAGGGGATATCACCACTGATCCCACAGAAATACAAACTACCAGAGAATACTGTAAACATCTCTATGCAAATAAACTAGAAAATCTAGAAGAAATGGATAAATTCCAGGACACATACACCCTCTCAAGACTAAACCAGGTAGAAGCTGAATCCCTGAATAGACCAATAACAAGTTCTGAAATTGAGGCAGGAATTAATAGCCTACCAACCAAAAAAAGTCCAGGACCAGACGAATTCACAGCCAACTCTTACCAGAGGTACAAAGAGGAGCTGGTAGCATTCCTTCTGAAACTATTCCAAAACAATAGAAAAGAGGGGCTCCTCCCTAACTCATTTTATGAGGCCACCATCATCCTGATACCAAAACCTGGCAGACACACAACAAAAAAAGAAAATGTCAGGCCGATATCCCTGATGAACATCAATGTGAAAATCCTCAATAAAATGCTGGCAAACTGAATCCAGCAGAAAGCCGATCCACCATGATCAAATAGGCTTCATCCCTGGGATGCAAGGCTGGTTCAATATATGCAAATCAATAAATGTAATCCATCACATCAACAGAACTAATGACAAAAACCACATGATTATCCCAATAGATGCAGAAAAGGCCTTTGATAAAATTCAGCATCCCTTCATGCTAAAAACTCTCAATAAACTAGATATTGATGGAACACATCTCAAAATAATAAGAGCTATTTATGACAAACCAACAGCCAATATCATACTGAATGGGCAAAAACTGGAAGCATTACTTTGAAAACTGGCACAAGACAAGGATGCCCTCTCTCAACATAGTATTGGAAGTTCTAGCCACAATCAGGCAAGAGAAAGAAAGAAAGGGTATTCAAATAGGAAGAGAGAAAGTCAAATTGTTTCTGTTTACAGATGACATGATTGTTATTTAGAAAACCCCATCATCTCAGCCCAAAATCTCCTTAAGCTGATAAGCAACTTCAGCAAAGTCTCAGGATACAAAATCAATGTGCAAAAATCACAAGCATTCTTATACCCCAATAATAGACCAACAGGGGGCCAAATCATGAACTCCCATTCACAATTGCTACAAAGAGAATAAAATACCTAGGAATACAACTTACAAGGGATGTGAAGGACCTCTTCAAGGAGAACTATAAACCACTGCTCAAGGAAAGAAGAGAAGACACAAACAAATGGAAAATCATTCCATGCTCATGGATAGGAAGAATATCATGAAAATGGCCATATTGCCCAAAGTAATTTATAAATTCAATGCTATCCCCATCGAGCTACCATTGACTTTCTTCACAGAATTGGAAAAAACTACTTTAAATTTCATATGGAACCAAAAAACAGAGCCCACATAGCCAAGACAATCCTAAGCAAAAAGAACAAAGCTGGAGGCATCACACTACCTGACTTCAAACTATAGACAAGGCTACAGTAACCAAAACAGCATGGTACTGGTACCAAAATAGAGATATAGACCAAGGGAACAGAACAGAGGCCTCAGAAAAGAACACCACACATCTACAACCATCTGATCTTTGACAAACCTGACAAAAAGCAAGCAATGGGGAAATTATTCCCTATTTAATAAATGGTGTTGGGGAAACAGGCTAGCCATAAGCAGAAAACTGAAACTGGACCCCTTCTGTACACCTTATACAAAAATTAACTCAAATTGGTTTAAAAACTTAAACGTAAGACGTAAAACCATAAAAACTCTACAAGAAAACCTAGGCAAAACCATTCAGTACATAGACATGGCCAAAGACTTCAATACTAAAACACCAAAAGCAATAGCAACAAAAGCCAAAATTGACAAATGGCATCTAATTAAACTAAAGTGCTTCTGCACAGCAAAATAAACTACCATCAGAGTGAACAGGCAACCTACAGAATGGGAGAAAATTTTTGCAATCCATCCATCTGACAAAGGGCTAATATCCAGCATCTACAAAGAACTTAAACAAATTTACAAGAAAAAACAACCCCATCAAGAAGTGGACAAAGGTTATGAACAGACACTTCTCAAAAGAAGACATTTATGTGGCCAACAAACTTAGAAAAAAAAAAAAGCTCATCATCACTGGTCATTAGAAAAATGCAAATCAAAACCACAATGAGATACCATTCCACGCCAGTTAGAATGGTTATCATTAAAAAGTCAGGCAACAACAGATGCTGGAGAGGATGTGAAGAAACACCACTGAGGGAAGTGTAAATTA